>NC_000006.12:2787272-2938787 GCF_000001405.40 Homo sapiens
CCAAAAATTCTGTGTTCTTAAAGCCTATGGTATGAAAAATAATATGTTAATATGCCAAATAGTGATAAGTGCTATGCTAAGGAGAAAATGAATGAAAGATTGAATATGGAAAGGGGAGGTATGGGTGCAGTTTTAGTAGAGTAGCCAAGGTGGATCTCACCAAGAAAGTGTTTGAGTCAAGACTTCAAGGAAGTGAATGTGCCTTTCAGACACCCGGGAAAGGATCATCCCAGGCAGAGGGAAAAGCAAGTGCAAAGGCGCCGAGGGAGGATGGAAGGCTGGGTGGGTTCAGCATCCAGTAAGGAGACCAGTCTAGCCGGAGGGGAGGAAAGAGTGGTAGAAGTCGAGGCCGAGGATCATGGAGCTTCAGATAAGGTGGGACCTTTTAGGTCATGGGAAGGACTTTGGCTTTTACTCAAGGTTTCCCTCAAAGAGTGTCATGATGAGACTTTGATGTTATAGGGATCCCTTGCCGCAGTGTTGGGACTAGACGGTAGGTAGGGTCAGGCTCATCTTTTCAGTCAAGTAGGTCAAGGCATGGCTCCCTGCGTTCTCAGCGCCAGGTGGGGAAAGAGGAAAGTCGTCATACATCACTCAGTATGTGCCTACCACTTTGATCTTCTGACTGAAATGGTACCCAAGCCCCTGGCTCTATCTGGGCCCCTCTGGTTCAGAGATCTTCCCCTGGCCTGGAGTAGGAGAGGGTGTCTGGAGACCCATCTTCCTCTTCCTTACCTGCTGCCACCTCCCAAGCCTCTGAGACGTCTGCCACGTTGATGCCTTGGCATTCCCCACTCGACTTGCCAGGTCAGTTACCATTTGCCCGCCATGTTTCCACCTCCAGCATCATGTTGCCATTATCTCACTTGTTCTCCTCACTTTCAAGGATTGATGGATTTTAAGGATTCCTTTACTGTATTTTTGGTGGAGGCTTAGGAGGAAATAAAATCACATGTGGGTCCAATCCATTATCTTTACTAGTATTTCATTAAGAAATGTATAGCCCAGTTTTTTCTTGATTTTTTTTTTTTTTTTTTTGGAGACGGAGGCTTGTGCTCTTTTGCCCAGGCTGGAGTGCAATGACGCGATCTCGGCTCACTGCAACCTCCACCTCCTGGGTTCAAGCACTTCTCCTGCCTCAGCCTCCTGAGTAGCTGGGACTACAGGCACACACCACCACGCCTGGCTAATTTTTTTGTATTTTAGTAAAGACAAGGTTTTACTGTCTTGCCCAGGCTGGTCTCGAACTCCTGAGCTCAGGCAATCCGCCTGCCTCAGCCTCCCAAAATGCTAGGATTACAGGCATGAGCCACTGTGCCTGGCCAATTTTGATTCTTTAAAAATAACATTTTTACAGGCCAGGCGTGGTGGCTCACACCTGTAATCCCAGCACTTTGGGAGGCCAAGGCAGGTGGATCACGAGGTCAGGAGATCGAGACCATCCTGGCTAACAAGGTGAAACCCCGTCTCTACTAAAAATACAAAAAATTAGCCGGGCGCGGTGGCGGGCGCCTGTAGTCCCAGCTACTCGGGAGGCTAAGGCAGGAGAATGGCGTGAACCCGGGAAGCGGAGCTTGCAGTGAGCCGAGATTGCGCCACTGCAGTCCGCAGTCCAGCCTGGGCGACAGAGCGAGACTCCGTCTCAAAAAAAAAAAAAAAAAAAAAATTTTTGTTGGGGGATGGAGTTACTTCCAAATAAGAAGTGTGCTTGTGATGTAACCGGAGGTGACATTAACTCCTCAACAAGCTTTTCCGTCATGACTCACTCCTGCCAGTTTCCCAAGGGACGGATCCCAGTGGTGGTCAAGGCACAGGTGTGAATTTATGCCAGGACGATATGTGAGCATCGTAACTCAAGCCAACAGATAAGTGATGAGGGCTTTTTGAGATCCATCATCCTATTAGACATGCGGCCCTGAACACAGTGTGTAACGCGGACACGGGGCCTGTGCTGGAGCACGCGGTGCTGGGGAGAGCCTGCAGCACACTTTCTGCTGTATCCAGCAGCGGGGCACTGAGCAGCCAACTTTCTGTAACTGTAAAATCAAGCTTGAAAGTTTGCAAATGCTTGTTTTTTGGTTTCAAAGAATCTTATTTTGTGAAAGCAGATTTTTAAAGTTTTTAAAGCAGATATTCACTGCCTGAATGAATACCTCTCACATACCACAGTGAGCATGACTGAAAGTTTACACCATTAGCTAAACCCTGGGAAAAACTAATGCAGTGAGTCAGAGTTTCTGGTGAGGGAGGCACATCTCTTGCCTGTTTACAGTAGTATTCAACAATTGGGGGCAGCCCTTCCATATGATGCCATTTAAATACCACAAGTTATGGGCCAGGTGCGGTGGCACACACCTGTAATCCCAGCACTTTGGGAGGCTGAGGCGGGCAGGTCACTTGAGATCAGGAGTTTGAGACCAGCCTGGGCAACATGGTGAAACGTCGTTTCTATTAAGTATATAAAAATTGGCTGGGTGTGGTGGCGCACACCTGTAATCTCAGCTACTCAGGAGCCTGAGGCAGGAGAATCGCTTGAACCTGGGAGGTGGAGGTTGCAGTGAGCCGAGATCGCGCCACTGCACTCCAGGCTAGGTGACAGAGTGAGACTCCATCTTAAAAAATAATAATAAATAAGTAAATAAATAAATATCACAAGTTATGTACTGATTCTGAAAAAGCAACATAACCACCAAACACAATTTATTCCTTATGTTCCAAGTGTATTTGGTAGTTTTGTTCACCCTCATAACAGCCAAACCTGAGTTTAAGAACAGTAAGAATAGTGACTTGCAGAGATTTGTTCCAATTGTTACAACAAGAATGGATGTTAACTCATCTTTTCCAGATACAAGTCATCAAACCTGGACAATGTTATCAATTAATTCCAAATGAGAGAACCGGCCTTTTGATACTGATGTTATATTAGAAAGGATGATTTTCCTATACTTTCATATAAATGCCATGGATCTCTTACTTTTTGATGAATTAACCTTTGTGTAGCGACTACAGTTTGAAAGCACTACTACACATTCATAGATGCAGTTCCAGGCAGTTTGAGCCCACAAAGGCATTTATAACTTAAGCAGAAACCAAACAGAAGTAAATATTTTTAATAGAGTTAACAAATCTTCATAAAAACCAATCATTTAAAACTAAATGTTTTGAAGCTCTAAAGCCAGTCAGGCTCCGGGGAGGATGCAGATGATCCCCTCAGGCCACTGAGAAACTTTTAATCAGGGATCACAAGTATTAGAGAGGTATAGGGGAGGTTCAGGGGACCAACACAAGGTGAGAAGCAATTCCCTGGCAAGGCCTGAGAGGCAAGGGGTGGGAGCAGGCAGGGAGCCCTGGGAGAGCAGGAGGTGGCCGGCAGCCTTCAGACAGGAACTGCGGCCCTGAGTGGAGGCAAAGAACTCAGCAGCTGCTGCACCTCTTGAGTAGGGAACCTGGGGGTAGGAGAAGGAAATGCATGGTCTGAATCCTCTCTCTCTTGCCCTCATCTCCTGCCAGTCCCTCCCACTAGCAGGACCAACCAGAAGTTTCCCTGGTTAAAAAGCCAGGCGAGAAGGGTGGAGAATACCCAGTGTGCACAGATCTCTGAAATGAGAACTACTACTGCTCTATTTTAGGAGAAACAAAATTCTTTCTGTGTGATTGTATACCTTGAGAGCCAAGAAGAAGAGTCCGAACAGCTAACAGTCCAGTAAAGTGGCCACATGGAAACAACCCATGAAAATCCATAGCTTCCGGGCCACTACTGTAATCAGAAAAGACACCAAGAAGAATATTCCATTCTCAGTAGCAACCTGGAAAGAAACTGAATTGTAACTGAGGAGTAGGACTTACATGAAGAAAACTACCACACTATACCCTACTATTGAAACACAAGAAAATGCGAACGAAAGTAGAGAGAAGCCGTTTTCCTCAAAGACGTCATCTCAAATTTATTTTTACATTCCCATCATGCTTGGCATGTAGAATGTGATCAGTACATATTTGTTGAATGACAAAATGAGGGGATAAATAAACTTTCCCTAAGATGTGTATGTAGACGTTTGAAAATAGAAGTCTGTCGCTGATGTTTCTGTCCACCAGGAGTCAGGCTTCAGCCAGGAAAGAGTGAGCCAGTGTCTGAGCTGTCTCTCACCAGGCCTTCCACCAGCTCCAGGTCACCAGGTTCAGGCCAAGACTGAGTTTCAGTATTTGTCGTTAACCTGGTAGATAAATAAACAGTTTTAAAGTAGAGCTTATGTATTTGTCTGATTGCAAAAGTAATACATGATCATTGCACATAGGTACAGGAGCAGATGCAAAAAAAAAAAAAAGCAGATAAAAGATAGTAAAAATCAACTTTAACATTTAATATTTTTTCTCAGTGATAACCACTGTAAACATTTTAGTGTATGTCCTTTGGGAATTTTTTCCAATGAGTGTGTGTGTGTGTGTGTGTGTGTGTGTGTGTATGTATGACTACACCATCTGTTTATAGCTTGCTGTTTCTCACCCCCTCACATGATTTCTTACATGCAGAATTAGTCTCTTAGCGTATGACTTTTCATGGTTGAGTTGGAGCCACCACCAGGGAGCTGCACCCTTCCGGTGGTGCACCCCACCAGCCGTGCCATCCACAGAGGGTAGGACACACCAGACACCTAGTAGCTGGATTTATTTATTATATTTTATTTTATTTTTGAGATGGAGTCTCACTCTGTCGCCCAGGCTAGAGTGCAGTGGTGCAATCTCGGCTCACTGCAACCTCTGCCTCCCAGATTCAAGCAGTTCTCCTGCCTCAGCCTCCCGAGTAGCTGGAATTACAGGCACCTGCCACCATGCCCAGCTCATTTTTGTATTTTTAGTAGAGACAGGGTTTCACCATGTTGGTCAGGCTGGTCTCGAACTCCTGACCTCAGGTGATTCACCCACCTCAGCCTCCCAAAGTGCTGGGATTACAGGCATGAGCCACCGTGCCCGGCCTAGAACTGGATTTAATAAGAGAAACAGAGAGCCTCACACCACTCTCCCCTCCTTCAGCACCCTGCCTCCAGGGTTCTTTCGGCTCGCTAGCCAACCACACTTGGTGAGGTGCGTGGGTCCAGGAGTCTGTCTGCTCGGGTTCAAATCCTATCTGAGCCACCTCACCCCGTGACCTTGGTCAAGGTTATTTTCTTTTCCCTCATCTTTAAAATGGGTATCAAAATATTACTTAATCACAATGGAGATTACATGATTCAAATCTGGCATTGCTCAAAGTCATGTCCGGCACACAGTCCATACATGCTGGGTATTGCCATGACTCATTCTCCCCACCCCAGTTCAAGCATCGCTTTCCTCTCAAAGCCTGCGCTGAGCCCTCAGGCTAAGCTTCCCAGCCCAGCGCTGTGCAGCCCCAGGTGCTATTGCTCACCTGGGCTCTGAGCCATTGTGGTGTTCCAGGGCCTTAGGTGGTTATGGACCGGGCACTGCTCTCTCCCTCTGGGCTCTCCCTGGACGCCAGCCTGCATCTCTTTCATTTTCTTCGCTCAGGGGACAGGCTGAACTTGGGGACTGCGGAGGCCTGCAGTCTTCCAAGCACACTTGCTGCTTCATTTTGGCTGGCAGCAGTAATTGCAAACATGTATTCCCTGCCTGCCATATGCTGGGCACCATGCAAAATGTTTTCCATATGTGATCTCAATTTCCAAAAAGACTATATAAGCCGGTGCTGTTAGTACGTCTATTTTACATGGAGAAAAGGCGCACACAACTTAAGATGGCAAAGTGACTTCCTGAGAGTCAGCAGGATGGAAACCCCCAGAGCCGGCCCTGCCCGGCCACCTTGCCAGTGGCTCCAGGTTCTTACATGCATCAGAATCACCTGGAGGACTCGCTAAAAATCCCAGAATTTCTAATTCAGTCCATCTTCAATGGGGCCTAAGAATTTGTGTTTCCAACTATAAGTTCTCAGGTGGTGCTAACGGGGCTGGTCCACACGGACCACACTTTGAGAACAACTTCACCGTGCTATGTGACCTGCCATCAATAGCCTAGAAATAAGTTTTTGGTGGCAAACAGGCTCTTTTCAGACTCATCTCCTGCCTCTCTACCTGTAGCTGTCATTTATCTTTTCTTCCTTGCTCTAAACACATTCAGTGACTTATGAGGCCTTAAGGAGGTCCTGAGTCTCCATGCCACCTGGGCTTGCCTCCTTTGTCCCCCTCCCCTGTCATTCCTTCTGACACCAGCTGCTGCTTCTCTCCAGGTGTTTGTCATCCACACTTGAAATTGCTGCATGGGTGGGGAACATGGCTGCTGTGTGGCTGTGTGGGCAGGGCAAGGCCCAGGGGGCCTGGCTGAGGGCCGACAGTGAGCAGGCAGAAATCCAGAGGAGAGGATGTCTTTTTCTGTCTCACAAAGGCACACGTGGGCTAGCTGGGCTCTGAGGAAAGAGAGAGGCTTTTGAGCAAGTCCGTTTATGCTTCTTGCCTATTTTGCTTTAGCTTGTGGCTTCCGGTGAAAACACGCCTTCTTACTCATTTGGCTCCTTACTGAGGAATAAAATATACGAATTCCACTCCGTAGCCTGCAAATTCTCTACCTGTCTCATCGCCTCCTCACTGTTGCAGGTAGTTGAGACAAGTACAGTGGAACAGAAAGTCTGTTGGGCCAAGAATAGACTTTCTGGTATGAGATTCCCCAAGTGTGGGGAATGGTGAATGTCAGAAGCTTGAGTAGCAAGTGCACACATGGGGCGGGTCTCTTGTCACTTGTACTGGTTGTGCTCTAGTCACAGTAGGCTCTGAGGAAGCCAGGGTCCATGTGGCCATCTGCTTGAGCAACCTGCAAAGTCCTGGGTGTGGTATTTCTTTACTCTGCATGAAGTTACTCAACTGCCATCTGTATGACTAGCCAACTTTGAAGCAGAAACTATCTGAATTAGAATTCCATATTTCTTCCATTCTCTAATTTTTTTGAAATTCTGCCCCCATGATCTATAAAAAAAATGTGAAGTCTTCACCTAACCATCCACTTCATTAAGTCTCTCCTTCCTCTGCTCACATCACACTGCATAGGTTCTGTCTTTTTGGCTGTGGGTTATAAGCCTTCTGAGGGCAAGCATAGTCATAGTCATGTTCATTCCACAATGTTTGGCTCCTAGTAGCTTTTCAGCAAGTAATTGCTTAACTGACTTTCCCCGCTACAGAAGACGATGCTTTTCAAGAATAGACAATTCCATGTCACAGATAGTGTAGGTGTGAACGTCCCCAGGCTCAGGGCAGTGGATTAGTCATGAGCCGAGATCATTTTTCATGCTCTGGTTTGCACAGTGGAATGACTGGAGTAGCTTAGGATGTGGTATGAATTTCCTACTAGTGCACTAAAAACAGGATTCACATCCCTTCTGCCTTATGATTGTTTATGCAATAACCTCATTGCAAATGTCGTGTTGCTGTACCTTCCCATGATGTTTTAATGAAGTAGAATTTTAAAATATAATTAACGTGCTTAAGGTCATAAATCATAAAACAGATTTGGACAACTTCTGGATCATAGTATTTCAGCCTCTCTAAGCCTCAGTTTCCTTATCTCTTAAAGGAGGATAGATTACAATAATCTCTACAAACTCATGCAGTTTAAAAATACATTGTTGTTGCTGAGGCGGGTGGATCGTGAGGTCAGGAGTTCGAGACCAACCTGACCAACATGGTGAAACCCTGTCTCTACTAAAAATACGAAAATTAGCCAGCCATGGTGGCGTGCACCTGTAATCCCAGCTACTCAGGAGGTTGAGGCAGGAGAATTGCTTGAACCTGGGAGGCGGAGCTTGCAGTGAGCCAAGATTGTGCCATTGCACCCCAGCCTGGGCGACAGAGTGAGACTCCATCTCAAAAAAGTAAGTAAATAAATAAATAAATAAATAAATAAACCAACAACAACAAAACATAGTTGTTATCTGTATCATAAGAACTACTTAAAGGAAAATCTCCATTTTGCTAATGAGTCATTAAATACATATTTTACATCCTTCCAACAAGCTTCCATGTTGAGAAAACTGGCTTTTGAGACAAGGCCATTGTTCAATCTCTGGTAAGTCACTTCACTCATTCAGGCCTCGATTTTCTCAGCTTGGAAGTGGGTATAACAATGACTTCTAGGTTCACTTTTATTTTTTGGCAGGGCCACTTTTACACTGGAAGTTTCTTATGAAAATCAAGTAAGATATGCAGATAAAAATATACTATCAACTGTCAAGTGCTATTTAAATTAAGGCACGATTATTTTGACTGTTTACATGGGAAAGCATTAAGAAATATTAGCGGTTTTCAGAAGCCAGATGCTATGGAAGTCAGAATTGTTTCATTAGCTCACATGATATTCAAATGGGCATGGAATGAACTCCAGTGGGAAAGTGAGCAGTGTGCCCTGTGCCTTCCTCTCCCCCTGTCTCCTTTTCTTCCTCTTTGGAGAAACCTTGGCTCCTTCCTCCTTGGGAGAGAGCAGACCTGGATGGCCACAGATTTTGATGGACGTGCTGCCTTTTGTAAGCAGGAGTTGTCTTGGCCCCTTTGGTAGATTTAGAAGGGTCTGTTACTGCCTGTCTTCCCACTCCATCTGCCCATTCCAGTAACCAGAAACAGGCTTGATTGAGAAGCTAAATTTAGAGAACTCAGGATCATCAAAGAATACTGCTGAACCCGGTGATGGTGCGGAAATCGTGAAATAGCAGAGGAGAGGAGCCCTCAGGACAGTTCATACCAGAAACCTCTTTTCTAGTTTCCTCTGACCTGTGGGTTGTCACCGTGACACAGAACTGGAAAGAGAACAGACGGGGTGTCACAACAGCGAGGCTTATGAAATCTTTGCAAAACTTTCCGCAAGTCAGGCTTGAACTAGGAGTACGAGCTGCCCTCCAGGTGGGTGACACATCTACGACCCCGCAGGACCACCAGCCCCACGCTTTCAGCCAGTGCTGCCCAGAGTGCGGTGCCCGGACCAGCAGCCAGCAACCTGAGCCCATGAGAAATGCAGAACGCGACGCCCAGGCTCGGCCAACTCAGCTGGAATTGCTAAGGAATCTGTGTGAACAAAAGCTCAAGAGATTTTTTTATGCCTCCTTCATTTTAAGAAACAATATTGGCTGGGCGCCGTGGCTCACGCCTGTAATCCCAGCACTTTGGGAGGCCGAGGCGGGTGGATCACGAGGTCAGGAGATCGAGACCATCCTGGCTAATATGGTGAAACCCCATCTCTCCTAAAAATACAAAAAAATTAGCCGGGCGTGGTGGTGGGCGCCTGTAGTCCCAGCTACTCGGGAGGCTGAGGCAGGAGAATGGCGTGAACCCAGGAGGCAGAGCTTGCAGTGAGCCAAGACTGCACCACTGCACTCCAGCCTGGGCGACAGAGCAAGACTCCGTCTAAAAAAAAAAAAAAAAACGAAACAATATTGTAAGTTATGCTCAAAGACTTTTGTGTCAGAATGTCAGGGAAATGGATCACATGGTTCAGTAACTGTCAGATAATTTCAAAACAGCACATCACCTTCCCCAGGCTCTTCTCTTTCTCCTCAAGTGCCTCACTGGGACTCTCCTTCTCTTTTATCTGGAAGCAGAGGCCTTGCAAGGGCTGGCTGATCATCCCACAGTTCCAGCGTTTGCAGGGCAGCACTGGGCATTTTGAAGGGCAGGAAGGAGGAGGGGGTGGGCTGCTCTTGCACCTCCCCTGTGCCCACCTCCAGTCACCAACCCAAAAGCTGCTCTCTAGAGAACAAGTCCAGTCCTCTCTCATCTCCCTGCTGTTCCTCAATTTCAAGTCTCTTTCATAAGGAAATGTCCAAAGCTCTTGAAGGCTGGATGTCTCTCCACTGAGAAGACTCTTACTCAATTCAGATGTCTATGAGGAAATCCCATCACACCTTTTGCTCTGGGCCCACCCATTCCTTCTGGATTTAGGGCCCTCGCGTAGGGAAGAGCCGCGTGGGACAGCCACACATGGTAGAGCCCGCAAGGGCAGCTCCAGGGTTGTGCTCTGTCTGCAGGACCAAGGACACAAGGGAAGCCCCTTGGGGCAGCAAGTGGTCTTGGTGAATTGAGAAACTGAGGCCTCAGCACAGAAGGAAGGAAATGAGAGGAAGCTGGCCAGGTGTGACTCTGGGCTCAGTGGCCTGGAGGCTCAGCACCAGATCCCTTCCTGCAGCTTCCCAGGCCTTCGCTAGCTCCTTCCAGCCAGGAGTTTGAATGCTGGGTGGACCAAGACACCTGAAGTTTCCTACAGTGGCAAGGGTGGGAGAGAAGGGGGTGGCCCTCAGTGATGTAGTCCCTGGAAACTTAGGCAAGAACTGAGAATGAATGTGTCCTCGGCAGGACTGTGCAGCTGTTCTTCCCTCCCTGCTCCCCTCCCAGAACATGTGACAGGTGAAGTTCACAAGCAGCACATTCTTCACAGTTCCCAGGTCCCTGAAATCCCTTGAGACAGCCAACAGCAAGCAAGGTGGGGAGGGACGAAGTCCCAGAAATGACTTCACAAGAATGTACACAAACAACGAAGCCCCAATTTGAATCTCACAGGTTCAGCCCTGGCCTGATCTCACCCAAGGCAGATCTCCTCCTCCTCCTCCTCCTCCTCCTCCTCTTCCTCCTCCTCCTCCTCCTCTTCCTCCTCCTCCTCCTTCTCCTCCTCCTCCCCTGCTCCTACTCCTCCCCTTCCTCCATGCTGCCCTGGGCAGGCTGTGAGAGGAGATGGGGAGAGAGCTGCTGTCACTTTAAAATCAGCCTCTGCTGTGACTTCAAGCTAATCCATCAAACTAACTTCAAATGAATTCCTCCTCTCCATTCAAATATGTTTAAGCTCACAGTTTCTTTTTCTTTGTCTTTTTTTTTTTTTGCATCAAGAAGATACTTTTAAATAAATAGTTGCTAAAATACTTGTGAGGTAGTGATAACTTTGAAATAAATACTATTTTAAACAAAATTCACAGAAAGCCCCCTATTGATTGGAATCATTGCATGCAGTGAGTTGCAATATATTAAATAGATAGCTCCTGCTGCATGCCCGGTGATGTGGCCCCTCTCCTGGGCCGTGGATGGAGACACATTTGCAGAGATCTGCTTGCTTGGCTACCGCAGGCATGGAGGATTCGCGTACGCATGACAGCAACCCCTTTCTCCGGGGACATTTACTCTTCCTCCGGGGACATTTACTCTTCCTCCAAGTGTGTGATGTGAGGGGAGCTGTGGACTCCTCAAGGCCCAGGCTGCCCCGCCCAGCACAGGGAGGAACACTCCCTCCAGGTGGCCTCCTCTCCTGCCCCTTCCTCAGGCCCTAGTCACTCCGTCCAAGGACAGGCTCTTGGTCTAAGTTCTTCCCTGGGAACACAGGAGCAAGCCCTGACTCTTTGGTCATGACGCTCAGAGATGTGAACATGTGTTTCCCGCTACGTGAAGAAGCCAGTGTGAGGAAACAAGGCTGGGAAGAACCCAGCCGAGAGGAGGAGACAGCCAGGGCCCATGCCAGGCCTAGTGACAGGTGTTTCTGACACCCCCCACACCCCTGCCATTTCTGTGGTAGCTTGAAACTTCCAAAAATCCCTTCTTTTGTTTCCTCTTAATCCAGTTTAAATTGGGTTTCAATAACTGGCAACCAAGAGGAGTTATGACCAATGAACAGCAGGGCTAGTGTGGGGGCGGAGCCGGGCCAGGTGGGTTCCAGCCGTGCAGAGGCCCATGAGGCCACGGGTTCAGTAGCTGTCGGGGTGGGTGGAGCGCAGCCCCAGAAACCTCATACCCATTGGGGTACCTTGGTTTATTGGGAACTTGGGCATTTGGATTTTCTTTTTTTTTTTTTTCTTTTTTTTGAGATGGAGTCTCACTCTGTCGCCCAGGCTGGAGTGCAGTGGCATGATCTCAGCTCACTGCAACCTCTGCCTCCTGGGTTAAAGCAGTTCTCCTGCCTCAGCCTCCCAAGTAGCTGGGATTACAGGCACCCGCCACCAAGGCCAGCTAATTCTTGTATTTTTAGTAGAGAGGGGGTTTCACCGTGTTGGCCAGGCTGGTCTCAAACTCCTGACCTCAGGTGATCCGCCCTCCTCGGCCTCCCAAAATAATGCGATTACAGGTGTGAGCCATTGTGGCCAGCCTGGATTTTCTATTGAAAAAGGAAACTCAAAATGTATTTTGAAATGGAGGTAAGCAGAGTGTCTTTGTCTTCAAGAACTATAAAAGTCTGGTGGGAACGTCCTTTTACTCTAGTTTTTGTTTGTTTGTTTGCTTCAATTTCAATCAGAAGCAGCCAGGCTTGGCAGCTGCTCCTCCCTTACCTCTGTCCCTCTCCATCAGGCCCCATCCCCTGATACCACATCCCTCACTAAGGGGCAGAGGCTGTGGAGAGAGCATGGCTTTGCACTTAAGCCTGGTTTCCAGTCCTGGCTCATTGCAGCCACACCTTGAACCTCCATCCTTCATTCGTAAAACTGAGCAAATGACACCTACATGTAGGACCAGAGAGTTCAAAAATGAATACAAAATGCATGGCACATAGAAGGTGTTTTGCTACAGATCTTGAAAGTCTCCTATATAATAACACTTTCTAGTCAAAGTAAAGATTTTTCTTTCTGATCCTGAGTATTTTTAGAAGTGGCCAGGATCATACTCCTGTGCTGGGGCCTGGACAGATGTGGTTTTTCTGTCCACCTGCAAAGTCAGGAGTGTCAAACACTCGTTCTGGGGCATTCACTTCTGGAGGTCCTTTTTCCTGTGTTGTTAGAACATACATAAGTAAATGGAGCTGGGTGACGGTCTGCGTTCGAGCCCTAAGACTAGACCACTTGCAGATAATCAACACCATGTCACATAGCATCACAGCACTGGAAAGGAACTTCTGAGTCACTTAATCCAATTTCCACAGTAACCACGTGTCATCCACTGACAATGTGACCGAAACACCATGGTGGGAACAGGAAAGATCAAAAGCAAAGATAGTTTGGCAGATAATGTGTCTGATCATAACTTTTTCCATTAATATAGCTAGTAAACACCAATCCCTAATCTAATCAGCTCGATAATACCACTGCCTGCAAATAAAAAATGGCACATTATTTTTAGCACAGTGACCATAGGTTACAGATATGGAGAATTTAACTGGAAACCTGACTGCCTTCACTAAGTACGTGAGTAACAGACCAAGGTAGCTCCTCCGCTGACCCTATGCCTTCCCGTGATATTCCATTTAGTTCCCTCGGAGTTTCTGTGGATGGTCCAGGCTCACTGGAGAAAGGTCTAGAAGGGGTTTGTGAAGCAGTGTCACTGGGCACTGTTTATGAACGTGTCTGAGCCTGGTGAGATAGAACACAGTCAAATTCAACAAACACCATGAAGTGGATTTCTTACTCACAGATGAACGGCAAGGGACTGCAGAAGCCATGGCTCCATTGCAAGCCGGTCCCCAAGGCTCAGGAAAGCTGCCCGGGGCGGGTGGAGTCTCATCTGTGTGTACCCTACTTGCACCACAGTTGAGGGACCCCCAGAAAGCAGCCTGCCCTGGGTTTTATACCCTGGGGTCACAGGACACACTGGGCTGCAGTGTTGAAGGACGTCCTGTTTCTAGGGGAGACTGGGACAGAGCCCAGGCAGGCCCAGTCAGTCCCTCCCTATCTCGGGATGCAGCATTCCAGCATATTCTATGATTATTCTTGACAGCTATGAGTGAGAAGTGGGGCAGAACTGGGTTAGTCCACGGTCACCTGGAGAGCTGTCCTGCAGTCCACCTCCCAACCCAGGTAGCCCCTTCCACAAAGCCAGTCCATTGCCTCTGCCCTCCGACCTCTCCAGATCTGGAGACGGAGGCGTGTCTTGTCAGGTTGATGTAACACCTTGACGGACACAGGCTCAGTGCAATGTCATTGAGCCATAGCCAGGTTACACTTCACCAGGCCCGGGGGACCACAACCACAGCAGGATGGCCAGGCCTGCTGGGAGCAGCAGTCTGGCCCAGGATCCCAGTGATCCAGGTAACGAAGTTGGAGAAGAGTCCTTAGGTGGCCCCACTGTGACCCAGTGGGTCTGCCTCCAGATCTCCTCTCCTTGTGTCTCTGCAATCCCTGACATGCACACTCTTCTTGGTCAGGGAAGACAGTCTTGAACAATCCTGTCATCTGAAGCAGCCTTCCAGAAGGAGCCAAGGGCTGGCGGCTGGCTGCCCAGGCAGAGGCGGTGGAGGCAGTGATACCTGCCATGCTCAGGGACAGGTGTCTTTTTTTTTTCTTTTTTTTTTTTAAATTTTTTTTTTTAATTTTTTTTTTATTATACTCTAAGTTTTAGGGTACATGTGCACATTGTGCAGGTTAGTTACATATGTATACATGTGCCATGCTGGTGCGCTGCACCCACTAACGTGTCATCTAGCATTAGGTATATCTCCCAATGCTATCCCTCCCCCCTCCCCCGACCCCACCACAGTCCCCAGAGTGTGATATTCCCCTTCCTGTGTCCATGTGATCTCATTGTTCAATTCCCACCTATGAGTGAGAATATGCGGTGTTTGGTTTTTTGTTCTTGCGATAGTTTACTGAGAATGATGGTTTCCAATTTCATCCATGTCCCTACAAAGGACATGAACTCATCATTTTTTATGGCTGCATAGTATTCCATGGTGTATATGTGCCACATTTTCTTTTGTTTTTCATGAGCACTGACTCCTACGATGGTACCAGAGATCCCTTAGGGGACATAAACCCGGTCTGTTACTCCTCCTGACAGGTCCCTAGCAAGTCTGGTGTAAAGCCCCAGATTGTTGGCCCAATGGTATGGCCCATTCCCAGGGGTGATAGCCAGGTTGCTCCCAGCACACCCAGTGTACAGGATCCCACCATCTGCCAGCTTTGCTGGCATGACATTGCCCATCCCAGGGCTGCCCACAGAGAAAGGTGTAGCCCTTCCCCCACGTTACTGCTCAGTGCCTACTTGGGGGTGTGGAGGCACTGGCACTCACCAGCCAAGCCTCATGGACACAGAGTTGCGGAGCTCAGTCTCCCCTGCACAGATGGCTGCTACTAATCCAATTCTTATTTTCTTTATTGCATGGGGACACCTCCTGTCCATGGAAACAAAGGAGTGTGGTGTGTCAAAGGACCAGCCCATGGAGAGGCTTATTAGTCGTGTTCATGCCATTTTGCTGCAGAATCGGTTAAGTTAAAACATGGCACCTCCAGCTCCCTCCCATGCCTGGGTGCCAGAGCCTCCCTCCGTCAGCCAGGGCTCAGGCCCCGTTGGGTGTGTGGTGGTGTCAGACACACAGATGTCATTCACCGCTGATGGGATGAGAGGGTTGCTCTGGTCAGGGACAGAACGAGGTCCAGAAGGGCAGATCTAGCAGTTTGCCAGGTTGCCTGGGAGGGCTACAGCTCAGAGAGCCTGACAAAGGCATTGGGCTCCTGGGCGTCTGCTCCCACGTCTTTGTGGAAAAGCAGACACATTAGTGCCCCTCCCCCACTCGCAGTTCCAGGTGTTCCCCACCTGTGGACAAGGGTGGGCTGAGTTGCTGCAGTGACCAAGTCTGTCTGCCCCAGCCCAGGCCACTACCTCTGTGGCACCCATGGCCCCTGTTGCATGACTCAGACCTTCAGGCCTCAGTCATCTAGTCCAGGAAAGGGTATCACGTCCTGTACAAACAACATGTCCGATAATGTTGCCCATTCTAGTGGAAAGTCAGATGTTCCCCCTGCCACTAGAGAGACCCTAGCGCTTTGGTATTCCTTGGTCCCATCCCCACTCCTGTGGGACCCCATAGAGGGGAGACCCCCAGGGGAAGTATTGAGTCCAGGTTCAAGTTGGGGGCCCTGTCTGGGGTACTATGGCAGCCTGAACCACAAACCACCTTCAGGACATGCACTCTAAAGGGAGAAGGGAAAAAGAATGGTTGGGAATGCTGAGATTGGGATTTCACAGGTGCAGCCTAATCAGGTGGCTGCCTGCCGCCCCCCCATCACCGTCACCCTTACAAGCCCAGTGTCTCTCAATGTGCCCTGCAGTGTCACGCTTCCCTCTAGCGCCGCTGGGTTAGGGTCTCCCTGACTGAGCTGGTCTTGGCACTTCCCTTGTGCGGGAGTACAGAGTTTAGGGTCCATAATACCCTAGTCAGATGGTGTCACCCCGCTAGCAGGCCATCTTGATGTCCTGTCTTCGGTTTCGTTGTGGGCAATGGTTCCATCATTCAGCAGCCCCGCTGGCCTGCAGGTGACAGCGCGCGTGGAAAGTCTATCCTATTTCGTGAGTACGCACCCACTGTTATACTGCTAAGGCAGTGAAGGATGTTCCTTGGGCAGAGTGAGGTTCCGGGATATCCAAAAACATGACAGAAGCTCCTCTCAAGGGCGGCCATGGTAGTCTCAACATCCACTTGAGTGACATCTCTGTGTCCCTTCCAGGCAGCAAGCTATTGTCATAGTCCTTTAACAGGAAACCCTTTAATAGTCCAGCCACTCAGTAGCCATTCTCCTGAACAGTCATGTAGGCTGTTAGCCACAGTCCATGAATCAGTGAATATCTAACAAGATATGGTGGTGGCTTGCATGGCCATCACCCCTGCCTGTGGTCCAGCCCGTTGGACAGAACATCCATGTGCAGTCTCAATTGAAAGACAGCCATTCACTGGCTGGACAGTGGCCGCAGCCCAGTGGACCCTGTCTGCTCGTTGTTTTGCAGAGCTGTCAGTAAGCCATGCCATATCATAGGCAGTCCAGTCTCTGAATCTGAATCTTGGGTCCCAGGTAGCCCCAGGAGGAGCTGAAGCACCCCTGTCAGCTCACATGGTACCTTCTGTCAAGCTAGCCATTATTCATGAAGCCCACCGGCCCCTTGGATACTGGCTGGATCCAATCTTAAAGGTACTATTTTCACTTAACAGTTGAGCTCTGATGAGCCTGTTTGATTTTATTGGTGGAATTTGTAAGCATTCAAGTTGGACAGTTCAGGTTGCAACATCACATGTGGATGTCCAGTTTCCTGCACTGCCCAGTAGCAATCAAGCAGTTGCCATTCAATAGATGTACATCTGGGGGCTGCTTTAGGAATTACGTGTCCAAAACCTGAGGCCGGTGCACCCCAGTGGCAGTTTCCTGTTGCAAGAGGCTCCAATTGGCACGTGTGGAGATGGCAGACACCTATAATTCCATTGGGCTAGCAGACTCTAAAAGTTTTAAAGGCTGTGCCCCAGACAAAAGTTGTTAAGTGACTTCCAAGTCCTGCTATTACAAAGGGCCCTGTTCAAAGTTGGCAGCTTTGCCTGTCACCTTGACTAAGGAGGGCAAAAGAACACAAGGTGGGTATATGCTGTCTCCAGCACTCAAAGAGACCTACCTGCTATGGAACCTCCTCTTGATTAGTGGATGCTGCCAGGCCAACAGTTTTTGCTTGATGGCATCTGGGATATTTCTTTGGCTTCCTGCCCAAGTGGCCTTGGCGTTCAGCCTGCAACAGTCTGTTGTTGGTCTCCATCCCCTGAAGGTCTTTTTGACCAGCCAAAGTCAACCGTCACATTGCGACAGAATGGTTTGTAACATTTTTATCAGAATTAACGCAAAGTCCTGTTCTCCACTTTGCATTCAGTACTGCTTTTGTTGAACACCCCACTGGGGCTTGGGGAGCTTAGGTGGTAGGCAGGAGTGGATCTGCGCCGCTGTTGCTGTGAGGGCATGCCGTCTAGGTGGTGTGACGTTCTGTGCCACAGCAGCCCAAGTGTCGATGCCTATAATGCAGAGGTCCTCAACCATTTTGGCACCAGGGACTGGTTTTGTGGAAGACAGTTTTTCCAAGACAGGGGAGTGGATGCTTTCAAGACGATTCAAGCCCATTATATTTACCATTACCTTCTCGTAAGGTGCACGCAACCTAAGTCCTTCGCATGCGCAGTCCACAGTGGGGCTCGTGCCCCTGTGAGAATCTAATGCCGCCGCTGTTCTGACAGGAGGCGGAGCTCAGGTGGTGATACTCCCTCGTCCATGCTCACCTCCTGCTGTGCGACCTGGTTCCTAACAGGCCACAGGTCAGTACCAGTCTGTGGCCCAGGGGGTTGGGACCCCTGCTACAGTGCAGAGGTGGGAACCGTGGTCACTGTGCCCAAAATGGCTCAAAGGGCCCCACCCACAGCAAATAGGCACTGTCAGTCGCCATGTCTGTCCTCAAACCTGCCGATGGCATCAGTTTAATTTTTCTCTTCTTTGACAGGAGCATGGTGGGGGCCTGGAGACCTTGTCCCCACCCTTAATTGCACCATTTCTTCTGTCCTCTCTCATCAGCTATCCCAGAGAGCCACGACATGGCCTCCCCTGCATTTTGCCCACATCTGTCCCTTAGATCCAAATTCTCCTTTTCTGTGAAGACCCACATTGTGCATGCGGGTTCCCTCTCGGGTACCCCAGGGTCCACCTGCGTACCCACTCCTGAACTCTCCAGCCCCGGGAATGAGTGATCACATGAGTGCCCAGCAACCAGGGGGTTGTGTGCCATGCTCTCATTTCCATATTCTTTTCTCCCCATGTCAGTCCCTACAGCCAGCTCTCTCTCATCTGTGTGTGTGTGTGTGTGTGTGTGTGTGTGTGTGTTTGTGTGTGTAGGGAGGGTGACCTCTGTTCCACTTATCACCCTTCCTTCTCTATAAAACTTCCAGCTTCATGTCCAGCCCCCTGCACCCCCAGGCTGATGTCTCTGCCTGGGCTGGGTACTGAGGGGTACCACCCTCCCACTTTGCCAAGAAGCCATGGTCCTGTCAGACCAGACCCTGCTCACTGGGCCAGTTTTGTGAAGTAGGTTCACAGGGAACTGGTTAACAACTTGTCTGAGTCTGGTGAGACAGAACACGCCATCCCCACCCCACCCCAAATCTAGTTACATGAAGTGGGATTCTTGCTTGTAGATAGGTGGCAAGAGAAAACAGAAGCCCAGAGTCCATTGTGAGCCAGTCCCCCTGAAACCACCTTTGCAACAATTATAACAGTGAGAAAATCATGGCAGTGAAAGAAATCTGGTTTAGCCAACTCCTTTCTTGCCTTTAGCCTTCAAACTGCCCTTAACTATTCCTGGGCTTGGGCCAAGCTAACTTTGGGAGATATTTAGCTTATAGTTTAAATGATAATAGTCCTTCTCCAAACAAAATTGCTTTTGTAAAACTAATGAAAGGCCACCAAGCTGGGAGGATGAGAGGAGCCCAAATTCTGCTAAGGTGTACACATAAATTATTACCAGACATTATTGCGGAGTTCACAAGGTGTGTAACTTCCCCAATGACTCCTGAAGATAACATCACTATTGTAGAACCTAAGATTGGCCTTTTAAGATGTCTTTTCAGGTTTTTTGCATGTCTGACACTGATGACCCCACCTGGACCCACCAACCCCTCCTGTGGCCCCAACCAGAAGTGACTCAGCGCCAGGAGAACCATTTCCCACAGCCCAGTGATGGCAGCCTTGACCAATCAGCAGGAAACACCCAGCCTAGCCACCACTCCTCTCTTACCCCAAACAATCTTTGAAAAACCCTAACCTCCCGACTTTCAGGGAGGTTGATTTGGGGAATAATAAAACCTTGACCTCCCATTCAGCCAGCTCTACGTGTGCAAAACTCTTTCTCTGTTTCAACTTCCTTGCCTTAATAAATCAACTCTGTCTGGACAGCAGGCAAGAGGAACCCACTGGGCACTTAAACTCCAAGGCTCAGGAAGGCTGCCCAGAGTAGAAGTCTGGAAAGAGTAGAACAGAGGGTCTTTGGCCTATGTGGAGATTAAATGAACCTGTACATATAAATACCAATGCAGAAACTCACTTCCTTCTTCCTAACTTGCTTCTCAGAACATTGGCAGCCAGATCTTTAATATCTAGGCAGGAAATTGGAAGTCTCCCCTGGGATTCTAATCAGTGAAAGAGGAAAAACCTAGAGACCCTGAGAATGGTCCATCCTAGAATAAGCTGCAAGCTGACGATGACCGCCTAGGTGCACAGAGCTTGTAATCAGTTGTCTAGTCCCCCACTCTTAGCCCCAGGAAAACCAATTGTCAGACGCCCAAGAAAAATGATATTTCAGAATACCGAGCGTAAAGAGAATGTGTTTCAAATTTCCGAAGAAAAAGACAGGTCACATACAAAGGATCGGGGACTTGCAAATGTCAACACTGGAAAAATAGAAGGCAATGGAGTATTGCCTTCAAAACCCAAAAGGACAATGATTTCCCAAGTAGAATTCTAACCACAACTATCGAGCAGATCTGATGGCAGCACAAAACAGGTGCAGACATGTAAGTTCTCAACAACAACAAAAGTAATTGCCCATATCATTTTCCAGGAAGCAGCCAGAGGGTAGCTTCCCCCAAAGAAGAGAATGAGCCAAGATAAAGGAAGACATGGAATATAGAATATTAAGAAGTCCAACCTAGAAGGAAA
This sequence comes from Homo sapiens, assembly GCF_000001405.40. Lineage (NCBI taxonomy): Eukaryota > Metazoa > Chordata > Mammalia > Primates > Hominidae > Homo > Homo sapiens. The sequence goes on from NC_000006.12 coordinate 2,807,671, forward strand.
TGGAAATCTCTAGGATGATGTAAATCTTCAGCTGAACAACAATAAAAAATTCTGCAATGACAAATAAGTGTAGGGCACAGCAGGCACCCCAGCCAGAACAGGCCGTGTGACTCTGAGGCAGCACGCCACTATCGATGTCACTGCCTCCTCAGCCTCGTGCCACCTCCTCCCTGGGATGAAACAATGGGAGGATGTGCTCCACCAACCAAGGAGATAAAGTCAAAAAATAGGAAGATGTGAGATCCAGGAAACAGAGAATCCAAGCAGGAAAAAGGCAGAAGGAATTCCATGAGTTAAAGTAAAAAGATTTGTTCATCATATCTAAATACAGCTGGGGGGAAATCAAAAGATAACAAGTGGCCAGATGTGATGAAAAGGAAACATTCCCACGGTTGACGGGAATGTAAACTGGCACAGCCACTATGGAAGACAGTATGAAGGCTCTGCAAAAATAAAACTAAAAATGAAACTGCCTTATGAGAGGCTGGGCACAGTGGCCCACGCCTGTAATCCCAGCACTTTGGGAGGCTGAGGCAGAAGGGATTGCTTGAGGCCAGGAGTTCAAGACCAGCCTGGGCAACATAGTGAGACCCTACCTCTACAAAAAGTAAAAATATTAGCTGGACATGGTGGCACATACCTGTAGTCCCAGCTACTCAGGATGCTGAGGCAAGATGATTGCTTGAGCCTGAGAGGTCGAGGCTGCAGTGAACTATGATTGCACCATGGCACTCCAACCTGAGTGACAGGTCGTCTCTTAAAATAAAAAAGAAAAGAAAAGAAATAAATTCCATATAATCCAGCAATCCTTCTTCTGTGTATATATGCAAAGGATATAAAAGATCTCTGCAGCCCCATGTTTATTGCTGCATTACTCACAATAGCCAAGATAATGAAACAATCTAAGGATCCAGTGATGGACGAATGGATTAAAAATGTGGTATATATACAATAAAATGTGATTTATCCCTAAAAAAAGAAAAGAAAATCCTGCATTTGCGACAACATGGATAAGCCTGGAGGACATAATATTAAGTGAAATAAACTAGACACAGAAAGACAAGTACTGCATGATCTCATTTATATGTGGAACCTAAAGAAGTCCTAGAAACAGCAGGTGGAATGGGGATGGACAAGGGCTGGGAAGCAGGGAAAGGAATGGTGAGACGTTGGTCAAGGGGTACAAACTTGCAGTAGTAAGATGAATATGTTCTGGGAATCTAAGTACAGCATGGTGACTACACTTAATAATATACTGTACACTTGAAATTCCATACACACATAACTATGTGAAGTGATAAATATATTAGCTTGATTGAGGAATACAAGGCATACATATGTTATTTACTTTAAGTATATACATATTTTATTTTATTTGACAATCATACTTCAATAAAGCTGGGTTGGGGGGATGTAAAGGGAAGTCCCAGGATACGACCTATGCAATCATTCCAGACAGAAGAGTAAAGAGGTTTGCAGCGGAGGATATCTCCACAAACAAAGTGGACCCAGCTGATTAACTGAGGTTATTGACCTTGCTGAGAATAGCACTGAGAGGCTATTGAAAAGCATGGGGAAAATTACAGGCACAAAGAAACTGAGCAATGAAAAACAAGGCAACTATTATCCTCAGGAAAAACATCAAAGCAAGAAGGGACCAATCAGAGTTTATGATGCTGCTCAGTTGTGAATAACCCTTGTGTGATTATAAAAATATTAATACCAAATGTTATTTAATCCAAAATTATAACCAAAGAAGATGGTGATAGGAAGCAAAGGGAATAGTGGAAGCCGAGAGCTAAATCCTCACCCATCCTAAGTGAAAATCAATTCTCTACCGACTTCGTTCTGTTCAACTTCCATTGACGAGCACAACCTCCCCTTCAAGCCTGATTCCCCATATAAGTCCCTCTATTCAGGACTCTGTATGCACCCAGGACTATGGGAGAACAGGCTGTCCAAGGCAATGGACTAGTCTGAGGACAACTGGGCCCAAGTTATCTCTGCTCTCTTGTTCCTCCACCCATTTTTACTGCACCGAGGACCTCACTCACCTGACTCCTTTCTCGCCTTCCTCAGTTGTGCCAATTCCTCCCCCACCACTCACAGTATCTTGTCTTGCAGCCCAGGCCAGTCTTAGCAAGGGTTTGCAATCAGAAAGGCTCAAATATGCCTCCAAATCTTTCTACCTTAGGCTGCACTTGGAAACCACGACATCAAAGTCAGAAGTTTTTCATCTTTAGCTTTGGTTTCCTGGACACCAGGGGTTTCCCTGGGTGTGGTGGGAGAGAAGACAGAGGAACACCTGGTGTGGGGAAAACAGATTAGTACTTGGAGTTATAATTGTGCTCTAGTGATTGGTAGGTAATGGAGAGTCATGGAAGGTTTTCAGTCAAAGGAGCGACTTCCTTGGATTAGAATTCTGTATTGTGAACTGCGGCTGCAGTGGAGTTGAATCATGGGCTGTTCCCATGGGCTGGGCAAGAGAAGGTGAAATCTCCCACGATGAAGGCGGGTGAGGACAGAGCGGGATTGACAGATTCTGGGGTTTGGCCAGAGGAGAATTAGTAAGAGGGTGACTCAGGTGTCTATCCTGGGGAACAGGTGCTACTCATGAGCCGGTAAGGCACAGGTGTGGTCAGGAAGTTTCTGATTAAGGATTTGGTCATCTCCCTCCCTCCCTTCAGTCTCTGCTGAGACAGAAAGGAGTCCAGAGGTTTTTGAAAGAGGGGAACTCCCAAGAGGGATGGTGAGGGTAATTCTGGGAACTCTACAAACTTATGCTTGAGGTTACAGTTGTGTAATGGAGGTGGCTGACTGTCCTACGGGTTAGCTTTTCTTACTCTGTGAAAAGGAGTGCCTCTTAAATATGTAGAGACTGTTTCACAATCATCATAACATAGTCAATACTGCAGGCCTCGGTGACTCCCCACCTAGGCAATGCTATGCCTTATCACCCACAGAGGCAGGCTTCGGTCATCATTCGGACATTGCACTGTGCTGTATAATTCAGGTGTGGTCCTTAATTTTATAAAACCTAGCATTTCAGAAAAGCCATCACCCCAATTAACTTAGCAGTCTTAAGGATCCCTAAATACTCACACAGGTTGGAAGCTTAAACACTTTCACACATAATTGCAAAAGAGTTGGTACTTTGTCAGAGAGAAAATTTGCTAGGAACAGGGCAGGTTCAACGCCATCTCCTAGAAGTCTTCTGACCAGAATTAATTTTTTTGTACAGTCCAATAAGGCTAGTACAGTATCTTTAATATTCCATTACTTTTCATGGTCTGCTTTGTATTTTAGTTAAATTACTAGGATCTAAAGAAGGTACAAAGATAAGCAAGAAGTGGGTATTTGCCCTTGTGGAGTTTACGGTAAGTCTATTATATTTTCAGCTTTAAGACAGAAATGCTAATGGTAACTCAAAGAAGTAATATGTGGTGCATGTTAAATAGCAGTGGAGGGCCAAGGACATGAGCGAGGATGCCTCTCCACCAGCAAAAGATCCAGGTGCAAAGAGCACTGAAGGCATCTTGGAGGGTAAGCAGTATTTCAACAGGTGGAGATGGCAGAAATCAGCATTCCAGAAAGAAGACAGGGCATCCACAGCTCTTCTTCAATAGAGGAAATGGTTTCTCAGCTGCAGCATGACTGACATTTTGGCCGGATAATTCTTTGTTGTGGGGGCTGTCCTGTGAGCTGTAGGCTGTGTAGCGGCATCTCGCTGTCAACCCACTGGATGCTAGTGACACTCCGACCCCAGTGGTAACAACCCGGAATGTCTCCAGACATTGCCAATTGACCTTGGGGTTGGGGGAAAAATCACCTTGGGTGAGAGATACTGATACAGAATATATATACGCACAGACACGTATATGAGGGTATGTGTGTGTGTATATATATATATATATAGTAACTGTCCACGGCACTTTGACTTCAAGAGAACTGATAATGTGCAGCAAGTCCTCCAATAATATCATTTCATTCATATCATTTTGTTATAACGTAAAGGAGAAAAAAACATGATTTTGTTATACATTGTTTCACTTAAAATTGCAGTTTCCAAAAACCTATTGGTGAAGTGAAGACTTACTGCACATATATGTATGCATATGTAATATGCAAAACTGTACATGTATCTTTATAAATGTATATGTACACCAATATATATACACATATATAGTTGAACCACTTGAAATTGTCCACACTTCACCATTTTTGACCTACAAAAATGGCACCTTTATATGGCTCAACAATGTAGACCCTATAAGATATAGGTAGTGATAGACACAGCTAGAAAGATGAACTAGAGAGCCATTGTGAATGTCCAGCGGCCTAGATTACAGCAGGATGTATTGTAAAGAGGTGACGAAGGGTCATACAGTCAGACAGACACGGGGTTTTTCTGGTGCTGCTGTGCAAACCTGGGCAAGTCCTGCCTGAAAACGGGGATGAGGGTAATAACACTTACATTGAAAGATTACTGAAAAGATTAAATAAGATAATGTATGTAAAGTTTCTGGCACATAGAGCTATCATCATTCCTTAAATCAGTGGATAATAGGAGTTGTTGAAGATCTTGGAGCAGGCCGTTGGTGTACTGGTATGTTGGTATGGCTGGATTTTAGGAAGCTGGATCTTGTGGCATCGATGAATGGTTGATTGGAGGGTGTTAGGGCAACAGTAAACAACAATGAAGATGTTAACAGAGGTGGGGTATAATTAGGGCCTGAACATAGGATGGTGTCAGTGGGAATGGAAAAGAAGGAATGGGCTGGGCATGGTGGCTCACGCCTGTAATCCCAGCACTTTGGGAGGCCGAGGTGGGTGGATCACTTGAGGTCAGGAGTTCAAGACCAGCCTGGCCAACGTGGGGAAACCTTGTCTCTACTAAAAATACAAAAATTAGCCAGGTGTGGTGGCACAGTCCTGTAATCCCAGCTACTCAGGAGGCTGAGGCAGGAGAATCATTTGAACCTGGAAGGCGGAGGTTGCAATGGGCCGAGATCACGTCACTGCACTTGAGCCTGGGCCACAGAGCAAGACTCTATCTCAAAAAAAAAAAAAAAAAAAAAAAAAAAAAGAAGGAATGGGTTGGAGACAGAGATTTCTTTAACAGCTTTGTTGAGGTATATTGACATATCGTAAACTGCCCATATTTAAGGTATATATTTGCTAAGTTTTGACATATGTATACACCTGTGAAATCATCATCACAATCAAGATGGCAAACATATCCCTTAGCCCCCCAAATTTCTTCATTCCCTTTTATAATCCCTCCCTCCCTTCCCCAGTCCAGGCAATCATCGACCTGCTTTCTGTCACTGCAGACTAGTTAGCAATTACAAGAATTCTATAATATATACTCTTTTCTAGTCTTTTTTTTTTTTTTTTTTTTGAGACGGATTCTTGCTCTGTCACCCAGGCTGGAGTGCAGCGGCGCGATCTCAGCTCACTGCAAGCTCCACTTCCCGGGTTCACGCCATTCTCCTGCCTCAGCCTTCCGAGTAGCTGGGACTACAGGTGCCCGCCACCACGCCCGGCTAATTTTTTGCATTTTTAGTAGAGATGGGGTTTCACCGTGTTAGCCAGGATGGTCTCAATCTCCTGACCTCGTGATCCACCTGCCTCGGCCTCCCAAAGTGCTGGGATGACAGGCATGAGCCACCACGCCCCACCTGTTTTCTTGTCTTGCTTCTTTCACTCAACATAGGTATTTTTGGATTCACACATGTTGTAAAGTTTATCAATAATTTTTTTTTTTGCTAAGTAGTATTCCACTGTATGAATATATGACAATTTGTTTATTCATTCGTCTATTGGTTGACATTTTGGTTGTTTTTGGTTTTTGGCTATTGCAAATAAAACTATTAATTTGTGCATACAAGTCTTTGTGTGGGTCTATGCTTTCTTTTCTGGTAAACACCTATTAATAGAAGTGGAATGACCGGGTCACATGTCAGGTATATATTTAATTTTTTAGTAAATTGTTTTCCAAGCCAGGCACAGTGGCTCATGCCTGTAATCCCAGAACTTTGGGAGGCTGAGGTAGGAGGAACACTTGAGGCCAGAAGTCCAAGACCAGCCTAGGCACTATAGCAAGACCCCATCTCTAAAAGAAAAAAAAGAAATTGTTTTCCAAAGTGGTGTAATAGTTGACATTGCCCCCAGAATATACATTTAGTGTGATCAGTCTTTTTAATTCTAACTATTCTGGTGGGTATACATCTCATGGTGGTTTTAATTTGCATTTCCCTAATGACGATCATTACATGACTAATGATGGTCCTTGCCTTGTTTTTTATCACAGGATGAAAGTATGGGCATCATAGGACGAAAGTAAAGTACCATTAAGTATGGACATATTTTCATGTGCTTATTTACCATCTATATATCTTCTTTGATGCAGTGTCTGTTCACATCTTTTGGCCATTTTTTAAAAAGTGCATATACATTGACATGCAGAGTGGAGTAATAGATAGTGGAGACTCAGAAAGGTGGAAGGTAGGAAGGGTGTGAGGAATGAAATACCACGTATTGGGCATAATGGACACTATTCGGGTGATGAGTACACTAGTAGCCCACACTTCACCACTATGCAATAAATCTGTATCACACAACTGCATTTGTACCCCATACATCTATAAAAATAAAAATTAAAAACATAAATAAATTGGGCTGTTTGTCTTCTTATTATGTAGTATTCTTTATACAGTCTACATACAAGTCCTTTGTCAAATATATGTCTTGCAAATATTATCTCCTGGTCTATGGCTTGCTTTTGAGGAGAAAAGAGTTTTTTTGTTCTGATAAAATCCAATATACTGTTTTTAAAAAAAATAGTTTGATTGTTTTATGTCATACTGAAGATTTCTTTGACAAACCCAGTGTCACTAAGATTTTCTTATATATTTTATTCTAGAAGTTATGCTTTTTTAAGCTCTTGCATTTGGGTCTATGCTTCATTCTGTAGTTCATTTTTGCATATTAAAATTATACACAAGGAATAGTGTTGAGATTCATATTTTTGCATATGGCTGTCAAATTGTCCCAGAACCATTTGTTGACAAGATTTTACTTTCCCCATAGAATTGCCTTGGCACATTTGTTAAAAATCAATTGACCGTATATGTGTGGGTCTATTTCTGGACTCTCTATTCTGCCCCATGTGTATATATAATATAGAATACATATATATATGTGTGTATATATATATCCTTAATCTCAATATCACACTACCTTGATTACTGGATCTTTATAACATGTCTTAAAATAAGGCATTTTAGACTGGGCACAGTGGCTCATGCTTGTGATCCCAGCATCTGGGGAGGCCGAGATGAGAGGATTGCTTGAGCCTGGGAGTTTGAGACCAGCCTGGGTGCCATAGCAAGACCTCACCTCTGCTAAAAATAATAATAATAAAATATTTTAAAGCCTCTAACGTTTTACATCTTTTTCAAAGTTGCTTTGACATGATTATTCTAGGTCTTTTGCATTTCCATGTAAATTTTAGATGTAGCTTTTCAGTTTCCACAAGTAGCCTGCTGAGATTCTGACTGGGATTGTATTAATCAACAGATCAATTTGGGGAGAATTCACATGTTAACAGTATTGAATCTTCCAGTCAACAGGCATGGTAATTCTCATCATTTTTGTTTTGTTTTCTTTCCTTTCTTTGAGCTGTTTTGCAGTTTTCAGTGTACAAATCTTACATATATTTTGTCAAACTTTTAATAAGTATCTTATATTGATGCTGGTGCAAGTGATATTTTTAAATTTCAACTTCTGACTGCTCATTGTGAATGTATAGAAATAATGATTCTATGACTGATGTTTTGCATATTGCCCTTTCATCCTGAAACTTTGCTAAGTAGCTTTTTGTATATTCCTTAGGATTTTCTACATAGATTGTCATGTTGTTTATGAATAAAGGCTATTTTAATTCTTTCTATTCAATTTGGGTGCCTTTATTTCTTTCTCTTGCTTTGTGGCACTGGTTAAAACCCCCCCATATGATGTTGAATAGAAGTGATGAGAACAGATATCCTTGCCTTGTTCTCGATCATAGGGTGAAAGTATTCAATCTTTCACCATTAAGTATGTTAGGTTGTAGGTTTTTTGGTAGGTGTTCTTCATCAGGTTTAGGAAGTCCTCTTCTCTTTCTTTCTTTCTTTCTTTTATTTAGAGACAGGGTCTCAGTCTGTCATCCGGGGTGGAATGCAGAAGTGCAATCATAGCTCACTGCAGCCTTGAACTCCTGGGCTCAAGCAGTCCTCCCACATCAAATTCCCAAGTAGGTAGGACTACAGGTGCAGCCACCATGCCAGGCTAATTTTTAAAATTTTTGTAAAGAGAGGGTCTCACTGTGTTGCCCAGGCTGGTCTCCAACTCCTGTCCCCAAGCAATCCTCCTACCTCCACCTCTCAAAGTGCTGAGGTTACAGGTATGAGCCACTAGAAAGAGAAGAGATGCCCTCTCTTCTCTTTCTAGATTGTTGAAAGTAGAGTATTAGTATGAATAGATGTTTAATTTTTGAACACTTCTTCTGTATCCAGATGATCATATTGAGATAGTCATGAACATAGTATTTTGTTTTTAATCTGTCAATATGGTGAATTGCCTTCATTTTTTTTATTGTGCTTTGATTGATTTCTGAGTGTCAAACCAACCTTGCATTCCTGAGGTAAACCCCATTGGATCACCAGGTATTATCTTTTTGTATATTGCTGTGTTTGACTTGCTAAAATCTAACTAATAATTTTTGCATCTGCATCATAATATATCTTAGTGTCTAGTATTCCTTTCTTGTAATGTCTTTGGTTTTGGTATCATGGTAATATTGGCCTTGTATAATTAGTGGGAAGTGTTTCATTCTTTTCAACTTTCTGGGAGAGTTTATATAAAATTATTATTTATTCTTTAAATTTTCAGTAGAATTCAGCAATGAAAGTATCTGGGCCTGGAGTTCTCTTGATGGGAAGATGTTTAGTTACAAATTCAACTCCTTTAATTGATAGTTAGGGTATTGATTTATTTTTAGTGAGCTTTGATAGTTATATTTCAATAAATGTACTCATTCATCAAAGTTGTTGAATTAGTGTTAGTACAAAGTTTGTAATTATATTTTCTTATTGTCTGTAGAATATCTTGTGATGTCCTTTGTTTCATTTCTGATATGTGAAATTTGCGTCTTTTTTTCCTGTTCAATCTGGCTAGAGATTTATCAATTTTATTTCTATTCTTAGAGAACCAGCTTCTAGCTTTGTTGATTTTCTCTATTTTTTTAGTCTGCTTTCTATTTGATTGACTTCAGCTCTTATATTTATTATTTCCTTCTTCTCCTTACTTTGGGATTATTTTTCTTTTCTAACTTCTAAGCATAGAAGCTTAGATCATCAATTTGAGACCTTTCTTTTTTCTATCATAGACATTTGATACTTTAATTTCCCTCTAAGCATTACTTTAGCTGCATACCATGAATTTTGATATGTCATTTTTTTCACTTTAAAAATTAAATTCACTTCAAAGTGCTTTTTGATTTATTTTCATTTCCTCTCCTGTGGGTTACTTTAGAGTGCATTGTTTGGTTTTTACATAGAGGATTTTTCTAGATATCTTTCTGTTACTGATTTCTATTGTAATTCTATTGTGGTCAGAAAAAACTTTTTATGATTTGTATAATTTTAAATGTATTAAGACTCGTTTTGTGGTCCAAAATATGGTGTATCTTGCTCAGTGTCCCATGTACCTTGAGAAAAATGTGTATTCTGCTGTTGTTGGATAGACAGAGTGTTCTATACATGTCAATGAGGTCAATTTGGTTGGTAGTGTTGTTCAAGTCTTCTGTATCTTTACTGATTTTCTGTCTGTTTGTTCTTTCATTTATTGAGAGACATGTACTACAATCTCTTACTATAATAGTGGGTTTATCTGTCTCTTCTTTCAGTTCTTTCAGTTTTTGCTCGATGTATTTTGATCTTTTGTTATGTGCATGGACTAGAATTGGTTTAGGAGGAAGAGAATCTGTAGTTCTTTATAGCTTTGTGGTTGATGAGGATTGGGTGCTGGTGAAGAAGAAGGAGGAATCAAAATAAGTCTGTATTGTCTGGTATCTGTGCATTCAGGTATTTATGTAAGTCATTAGAAAACTAGGGTGCTCAAATTAGGGACAGTCTTAGGGCCAGTGTTTTCTCCAAAGTCTGTGCTTCAGGCCTGTTATTTTGTCATTTTATCCAGAGTGCAGTGCCTTCATTCTGTCTTTCTTGCCACTCATATTTCACTCTCAGATTCTTCATTCCTACAAAGATATAAATGACTAATCTTTACTAAGATGTAAAAGGTGGCTAAAGACCATCATTCCTGTAGTAAGCATTTTTATAGTAAAGAAGACTCAAGATTTTAAGGTAACAGGGTGTAGCTTAGCCATGGAATTTCAGGCATTAGTCAGAGTTACATAAGCAAGATCTCCGGAAGCAGAGGAACTGGACTCCTCCGGGAACAGCTATAGACTATCAACATTTCTTCTTGGCTTAGATGAGCCTGGTTTCAGGTACAATAAACACTCAGTGTTCCCAAATCCTCCAACATTTTTACCACTATAAAAAGGAAACACGCCTTGTTGATTTGTGTTGAAAATTCAAAGGTTATCATAACCTTCCTGCTCTCCAGGAAAATCCAGTTCTGACCAAATCACTTACAGCACATGAACCTGAACGCTGAAAGTTTATTTTTGCTTTCCCCCAGTATAACTGCTTGCTCTGCCACAGACCTCACAGGTGGCATTTTCAAAAATCATTAGGAATTTTGACCCATAATGCTTCAAACTCAAACCAAAGCTGAGACTGCAGAAATAGCAGTAAAATATCCAGCATCTTATCTTATAATTAAGCTTGATGAATCTATCACTTTTTACTTCTGCTGCCTCATAATTCAGGAATGTAAAGGGACTTTATTTTGTGTGGGAGAGAGCAGAATATGGATAGATTTGCTGAAGTTACTGAGACAATGATAAGAGGAGAAATGAAATCAACAAGGAAGCTGTTGCCCGGCAACATGGTTGGTTTCAAAGAGACAGAGCAACCTTCGGTAATAACCATGAGCAATCTATGAAAATAACTCATGAATCCCTGAGTTAGAAAATATATATGTTGTGATTGGGTTAGGCTAAATACTTCCCCCAAAGAACCAAAGCATCTAGCTGTCCCGTTCTGTTCCATAAATATGAACTGTGCTTCCTGCCTAGGATCCCTCCCATTTGGAGTGCAGTCTCTGCCAGCTGGGACATTTTGTGGCTTTTGTATTTTTATATTTTGTTTTTATTACAAACCTGGTCTGTGTGTAATATTTTTACTCAGCACAATGAACTGCAGTGATGTGATGTATCCAAATTATGCCAGATACCTTGTTTTGCCTGCCTGGTGAAGCTTTGCTGGCTTGATCACCAGCATTTGGCCAGTGTGTCCCATCCCTTAACAGGACCATGAACACTAGTGAGGACCACAGGGTGGTATAGCTTGAAGGACCCTTACAGAACATTCTTCATTTTTGCCCATGGGGAATATGGCTTCTATGTCTGATACGCTAACGGCCATCTCCTTTTGCTCTTTGAGTCAACAGCTCCAAATAGAATCTGGTCTTTATGTCATACCCTGCCCTGTCTTTTTCCTCTGTTAAAGGACTCCTTGCCAGCAAGGACTCCACTATACTTATTCCTGGTCCCCAGCCACGAGCACAGTTTCCAGTATTCAGAAACATTAATACGTGGATCTGAGCAACAATCTTCAAGATGCGTAGTAGATTTTGGTCTGCCACAGGCTGCCTTAAGCACATGAAGAAGTGTCACACCTCCCTCACCAGCCTGAGTTATGCTGGGGGCAGTAAAGTGGGTAAGAGCACAGACTTTGCAAAAAACAACTAATGCTGGTGAGGCTGAGGAGAAAAGGGAAAATTTATACACTGCTGGTGAGAATGTGTATTAGTTCAGCCACTGTAGAAAGCAGCTTGGAGACTTCTCAAAGAACCTAAAACAGAACTACCAAGTGACCCAGCAATCCCATTAATGGGTATATACCCAAAGGAAAACAAATCAATCTATAAGACAGACACGTGCTCTCGGATGTTTATTGCAGCACTATTCATAATAGCAACGATATGGATTCAACCCAGGTGCCCATCAACAGTGGATTAGATAATGAAAATATGGTATACACACACCCCAAACCTAAGTATCATGCAATACATTCATGGAACAAACCTGCAGATGCACCCCTGAATCCAAAATAAAATTATTTTTTAAAGGATGAAAATAGATAAGTAAATACAAATTAAAAAAAGAAAAGAGCACAGGCTTTGGGGCCAGACAGTCTATGTTGAACCCTGGCCCTTTGTGACTGTTGGCAACGTGCCTAACATCGTGTGTCTCAGTGTCACCGTCCGTAAAATGAGGACGCAGGTCATACCCAATTCATCAGATTGTTGAGAGGATTAAATACGCTCCTAGAACTTAGAAAAGTTCCTGTCACTTCAGCACTTTGTAGTATGAGATATTATCTTCCTTTTAGAGTTCAATCTATGTCAATGTCATTGTTGATCATGTCAACGCAAAGCCTCCTCAGGGTGACAGATTGGAATTTGGAAGGGCTGTGCTCAAAACTAAAGCCAAAGGAAACAGGGAGTGGGTAGGTTTGGGGGAACACAGGCACCTTTCATTTTCTTTAGGGTTTTTACTTTCCTCCCATGATCCACTTGATTGCTGGCTTGGTGATTCTTAGCAAAATAAATTAAGCAATTGTTTGGCTTTTATTCACTGGGGTTTTCTATGTCAGTGCTGATTTTGACATATAATAAAAGTAAGCTTTTATTTTTTCTAAAAAGTAACAAGCAAAGAGGCCTTCCTGAGAGTTTGACGGATCATCATGACAAAACTGTGGTTCAACTGTTCAGGAAGAGAATGGTTTCCTGCTTAACTGGTGCTGGATTGCTCATATCTAGAAGGGTTTGTTAACATCCAAGAGAAAACAGCAGGCTAGGGAAAGAAAAACCAAAGATGGCTAGAATTTGCTACAAACTCGTATCCACCTAAAAGCCAAATATAGAACTTTAGTCCTAAAGGATTTACTTTCTTCACAAGGGTAGTTGGTCATTCAAAATAGATTGATCATGGACGCCACACACATGTATACACAAAATATAACTAAGAAAATTAAGACAGTATATAGATAAAATTCCTCTACGCTCTTTAGAAGGGGTCTGTGGCCTCTGAGGTGCTGGAAGAATTGGATTTCTTGATCTGGGTGCTGAATACATGGGTGTGTTGATTTTTTTTTTCATTTGTTTGTAAAGAGTTTTCTAAGTTTTGTGAAGTCAAATAAAGGCATTCCCTTACTAGAAAAATGGATGCTTGCAATGATTAAATAAAACAAACATCATCAAAGAGCAAAGAGGGCCCGGTGCAGTGGCTCACGCCTGTAATGCCAGCACTTTGGGAGGCCAAGGTGGGTGGATCACGAGGTCAGGAGATCGAGAACATCCTGGCTAACACAGTATAATCCCATCTCTACTAAAAATACAAAAAATTAGCCGGACATGGTGGCGTGCGCCTGTAGTCCCAGCTACTTGGGAGGCTGAGGCGGGAGAATCGATTGAACCCATGAGGCAGAGATTGCAGTGAGCCAAGGTCAAGCCACTGCACTCCAGCCTTGATGACGGGGCAAGACTCCATCTCAAAAAAAAAAAAAAAAAAAAAGCAACAAAGAGTGTTGTAGTAATGTGTGGAACCCAGTTCCAGGCTTAACTGACCTCCCCAGGGCAAAGTAAGTCACTTCCCACTTTGTGCTGCAAAATGCAGTGGATGTCCCTGCCTCCAGCTTATGGTATTTGTCTCCCCAGATAGATGGCCACCTTCCAAAGGAACCATCTTTTCTTACTCCTATGTTAATCTTCAGCATCTAGGGCAATGAGAGGTGGACAGAGGACTTACCATCTTGGTCCTGGTAAGGCAGCTTCCTGGAATCACAGGACCACAGGGACAAAGGCATCTGAGGGGTCGTTGACACAACCTTCTGTCCCCGATGGCAGGACACAGTGATCGCTTCTCCTGGCACATGTCTCAGGGATACCATGCCTTTCTTATATATTGTGCAATTATTTTATATGGGTAGTAGACAAAATTTATGAAATCAAATCTTTAAATTTCTACTTTATGGCTAAATTTCTACTTTCTGGATCTTTTGTCTTGTTTGAGAAGTCCTTTCCCCACTCACATATTTAAAATATATTCTCCAGTATCCTGTTCCAGTACTTTTGTGGCTTTATCTTCTAAATTTATCACTTTGATCTATCTGAAATTTGTTCAGGGTACAAAGTAGAGAACTACTTCTTCCCGAAGAACAGCCTCAATACCCACTTAGTCCCATCCTTTCCCCAGATTTGAGGTGGCTCATTAATCACACAATGAACTCTCACAGATTCTCACAGATTTTATTACCCGATGGTTTTTTACTCTATTGGTTTGTCTATTTCTGAGCCAGAGCCACAGTTTTTAACTGTAGGACTAATTCTTTCTCATTTCCCCCTCTTTCAAAAATACTTTTCCTATTTTTACTCATTTACTCTTCCAGAAAAGCCTTAGAATTAGTTTGTCAAATTAGGATTGGAATTACATCAGAACTATGGATTAATTTGGGGAGATTGGTGTCTTTGCCATGTTAAGTCTGTCTTCTAATAATGTGGTGCTGTAGTCATTGTCTTCCGTCTCTTTCGCTAAAGTTTCGTAGTTTTCTTCCTACTCTTGCACCTCTATTAATCTCTAGATTTTTTTTCTGATATGGTAAATGGGATTTTTTCCAATTTCTACTTTACCACTACTGTTATATAGCAAAGCTACTAATTTTTGAATAGTTACCTTGAATCTTGCTATCCTATTGGTCTCCTTTATTCGTTATAGCAGTTTATTAATTGATTCCCTAATTTTCTAGATATTTTCTTTGTCTTTTTCTAATATTTGTACTTTAGTTCTCTTTCTTGACTCATTTCACTGTCTGCTATATCTAGAAAAATTTATTGGTGTTGGTGATAACAGGTAACCTTAACAACAGGTCTTGACTTTAATGGAGATACCTATAATATTTTACCACTAAGCATGATGTTATGGGTTTCCAGCAAAAGTTCCTTATCAAGTTAGGGTGTTAAGTGTTTCCAAATGCTTTTTTACCATTTGTCATATGATTATAATTTTTTTCTCATTATATTGTTTTTCTTCTTACTAGATCGTCTAATGCTGAATTGTATTTGCTTTCACGGCATAGAGCCAACTCAATTATGTCCATTAAAATTATGCAGATAATTAAATTACAGTATATATCTAAATGCTGTGATCTAAATATTTGTGTTCCCCTAAAATTCATGTGGTGAAATCTAACTCCCAAGCTGATGACATTAGAAGGTGGAACCTTCGGGAGGTGATTAGGTCGTAAAGGTAGAGCCCTTATAAATGGAATTAGCACCCTTATAAAAGGAACCCCAGAGAGCTGCCTCCCCGCTTCTTCCACATGAGGACACAGCAAGAAAGGGCCATCTAGGAACCAGTAAGCAGGCCCTTGCCAGACATCAAATCTTCCTGTACCTTGATCTTGGACTTTGTGGCCTCCAGCACTGTAAGCAATAAATTTCTGTTGTTTATGAGCCACCTGGTCTATGGTGATTTGATACAGCCACCGAAACAGACTAAGACACAATGAAATACTATCTGGTGTTAAAAAAGAATGAACTGACACATGTAACAACATGGATAAATCTCAAAAGCATGCCAAGGGAAAGAAGTCAAGCACAAAAAGTGCTTAGTATACGGTTCCATTTCTATAAAATTACGGAACAAAGAAATCTACAGTGACATTTAAAAATGAGTGTACTCCTGGAGTGACAGGGTGTTCTATATGTTGACTTGGGTGCTGCATTCACAAGGATATACACTTATCAAAGTTCATTGAGCTTTATGCTTAAAGTGGGTGATGATATGTAAACTATGACTCAAGGCTGATTAATAAGAAAAAAAATCTATGCTAGTGCCACAATCTTGCAGCCAGAGTTGGGCTATGTACTCTTTAAGCCACTTCAACTTGGCTTTCGTCCCCACCACTCCAAATACATTTTCCTTGCTGAGGTCCCCAGTGACCTCCATGTTGCTAACTCACCTCGCCTGACTTCTCAGTAGAATGTGATACAGTTTATTCCCTGAGCTCTCCCATCTCCTTCCTGGGCCACTTCTCATTGGCCTCCTTGGTCATCCTCATCCTGTTCCTGGCCCTGAATGGTGGATCTGAATGGTGGATATCTCTGGTTCTCTTTTAGGGGCCCTCCCCTCTTCACATCCTACACGTTCTCATCCATGCAATATTTTTTTTTTTTTTTTGAGACAGATACTTGCTCTGCTGCCCAGACTGGAGTGCAGTGGCGCAATCTCGGCTCACTGCAAGCTCCACCTCCCGAGTTCACACCATTCTCCCGCCTCAGCATCCCGAGTAGCTGGGACTACAGGCGCCCGCCACCACGCCCGGCTAATTTTGTTTTTGTATTTTTAGTAGAAACAGGGTTTCACCGTGTTAGCCAGGATGATCTCGATCTCCTGACCTCGTGATCCGCCCGCCTCGGCCTCCCAAAGTGCTGGGATTACAAGTGTGAGCCACCGCGCCCAGCCTCATCCATGCAATCTTATAGCTCTGTGGTGTGGGTAACCAGGTTGGCATCTCTTCCCAGACCTCACTTCTGAGCTGCAGATCCACATACCCAACCACCAACGTGGCATCTCCTTCTGGAAGACCCACGTGTTCACGACTACACTCCCAAGTTCCACCAGAACTGTCAGCCTTCTGGGCTTCTCATCTCAGGGGTAGCATGTGCATTTGCCCAACTGCTAGAAAGCTGAAGGAAAACTTTAATAGAAAATTCACTTTCTTTCACCCTCCACAACTTATCGACTGCAAAATGCTGCTGTCCAGTAGGTCTCACGTCCATCTCTTCATGTCCACCTCCTCTGGCTCCTGGTGGAAGCCACTGTCATGACCCCTGAGTGACCCCACAGCTCCCACTCCTGACTACCTTGCAATTATTCTTCAAGTGGCAGGCGGAGTCAGTGTTTTAATGTGAATTTGTTTATGTCACCATTGGCCATAAGATGCTTCAGCAGCCATGAGGCTTTTTGACATTAAAATACATATTTTTTAATATATATATTTTATATATTATAGGCGGGTGGATCACTTGAGGTCAGGAGTTCGAGACCAACCTGACCAACATGGTGAAATCCCGTCTCTATTAAAAATACAGGCCGGGCGTGGTGGCTCACACCTATAATACCAGCACTTTGGGAGACCGAGGCGGGTGGATCATGAGGTCAGGAGATCGAGACCATCCTGGCTAACATGGTGAAATCCCGTCTCTACTAAAAGTACAAAAAATTAGCTGGGCACAGTGGTAGGTGCCTGCAGTCCCAGCTACTGGGGAGGCTGAGGCAGGAGAATGGCATGAACCCGGTAGGCGGAGCTTGCAGTGAGCAGAGATCGCGCCACTGCACTCTAGCCTGGGCAATAGAGCGAAACTCTGTCTCAAAAATATATATATATATATATACAAAAATTAGCTGGGCGTGGTGGTGGTGCATGCCTGTAATCCCAGCTACTCAGGAGGCAGAGGTAGGAGAATCACTTGAACCCAGGAAGCGGAGGTTGTGGTGAGCCAAGTTTGGGCTATTGCACTCCAGCCTGGGCCACAGAGCGAGACTCCGTCTCAAAAAAAAAAAAAAAACAAAAAAACAAAAATTATCTGGGCGTGGTGGCACATGCCTGTAATCCCAGCTACTCGGGAGCCTGAGGCAGGAGAATTGCTTGAACTCGGGAGGCGGAGGTTGCAGTGAGCCGAGATGGTGCCATTGCACTCCAACCTGGGCAACAGAGAGAGACTCCATCTCAAAAAGAAAATCAGCTTTGTTACACAACACATATAAGATGTCACACTATAAGTTATCCTTGGGCAGAGTGATTTGGGGTTTAATTCATTCACTCCACACCACTCTTCCACAACCTGGGTATTCAGCTGTGGTCACAGCAGCTGCTGACTGGTTTTTCAGATCAGAAGTCTCCCCAGCATTACAATTCTGCCATTTTAAATATATGTAATTAGAACTCTGAAAGTTCAGCTGAAGAAATGCTTTTTTACTTTATAATCTGTAGATGTTTCTGAAGCATCACCTTCTCCAAGGTTGAAATATAACAGATCCTCCCTTAGTCCTGAATTTTTTTTTTTAAGTCAAATGTATCCTTTAGTTTATTTCTTATCCCTAACCAGATGTACAAGCTTTTGTAATGATCTTGGCTCTTGGCAGTGACAATGGAGGGAGACAAGGCTGCTGAATTTGTGCCATGGAAAGATGATAAATCAGCAGGTTCTACTGAAATGTGTCATTTACCTATGTCCAAGCAATTCCCAGTCTACCTGGTGAAGAACAAGTTTATAGAAGATTCCTAAATTATCAAAGTTTCCATTTCCATTGGCAGAGTTTCACAGTGAAAAGTGAAAGGATAACATTAATATTGAAGCACCCAAACCTCTTAGGAGAGCTTAGAATGTATTCAACCCTCTGACAAAATCCTATGGTGAAATTCAGGGACTTCTGCTCATGACGAATCAGGTTGATTTTTGCCCTTCAGAGCAGTGAGACCAAGTCTCCATTCTGCTCTGAGATCATCTATAGAATGAGGATAATAGCACCCTTTTCAGGAGGTTGGTGTTAATAATACTTAACAAAAATACAAATATCAGATTCCAAGTGCCAGGCTGGCCCCGTGTTATTCCTCACTAAATATTAGCGAGTTCTTCCTGCCCTAAGCTGGAAGAAGAGCTATGGTGGGATGAGAATTCTAGGTTACAATATACTGATTATTTTTCAAGTAAGGAAGAATTTAGAATACAAGGACATAGGCCGGGTGCAGTAGCTCACACCTGTAATCCCAGCACTTTGTGAGGCTGAAGTACGTGGATCACTTGAGCCCAGGAGTTTGAGACCAGCCTGGGCAACACAGGATTACAGGCAGGAAAGCCTGTAATCTGGGCACTTTGGAAGGCTGAGGCAGGTGGATCACCTGAGGTCAGGAGTTCGAGACCAGCCTGGCCACTATGGTGAAACCCTGTCTCTACTAAAAACACAAAAATTAGCCAGGTGTGGTGGCAGGCGCCTATAATCCCAGCTGCCCTGGAGTCTGAGGCAGGAGAATTGCTTGAACCCAGGAGATGGAGGTTGCAGTGAGCCGAGATTGCACCACTGCACTCCAGCCTGGGAGACAGAGTGAGACTCCATCTCAAGTAAATAAATAAATAAAATAAAATAATGTAATAAATGAAATAAAAATAAATAAATAAAAGCACCCAGATTTTATAACACTCAACCAGATCGCCCTGCTCTCACACCTTAGAATTGGCCCCCACTTCCTTTCGGTCACCTAAGGCAGTGTTTCTGAAATATTAAAAACTCGGAAGATATTTGGAAGCCAGTTCTCCAAAGTTGTGACTACATAGAGCTCTCTCTGGCTGCCTTCACTACTTTTTTTTTTAATCGGCAGCTTGGGAGATCACAGAGTGAAGTGGGAAAAGCTCTAGAATCGGAATGCTGCCAATGGAAACTCTCAGAGCCTAGCTAGATGTTACAGCTTCTTAGGGTATTGGCCTACGTAAACTACCCCTGAGGCTCACCATTTCACTCCTCAGTGCTATGTTTTGCAGAACTAAAGTTCTTAATTTTCATTTGGTCCAATTTAGCATCAAAAAAGTCCATATGCCTCGGACTAAATGTAACAAAACATGTGTGTGTGTCTTCTTAAGAAATCTCTCTCCACAAGTTCATGAAGATAGATGCTTCTATTATCTCCTGAAAGCTTTATTGTTTTTCGTTCACAGTTAAGTCTACAGTCCATCTGGTATCAATGTTCCTGTAGGTTGTAAGGCAGGAATCAACTTTAAATTTTTTTTATATGGGTTCCTAAATGTCCCAGACAAATTATTGAAAAATTTCCCTATTAATTCTCGACCCCGAAATGCTGCAATTGTCATAAGTATAATGACGATAGGATTTATTATCCAAGTGGATTAAATTTTGAGAGTAAAAGATAAAAGATACAAAAGTACTAATTACATTAGGACCAGAGGTGTAAACAGGCTGTTTGGGGTACACTGGGACGACAGTCCTACTCGTCATGAAGCTGGGTTCATCGTGGGAGGCTATTTCTAGCCTCTCTGTTCTAGTCCGTTTCTGGTCATCCTTGCACCAAAACTGCTTTATCTTATTTTCTGCAGCTTTAGAATAAGTCTTGATTCAATTAAGTCCATCCTCTTGCTAATTCTTCTTCCAGATTGTCTTGGGTGTTTTTGGCTTTTACATATTTATATAACCATTAGAACAACTTGGCCAGGTGCGGTGGCCCACGCCTGTAATCCCAGCACTTTGGGAGGCTGAGGTGGGCGGATCACGAGGTCAGGTGTTCGAGACCAGCCTGACCAACATGGTGAAACCCCATCTCTACTAAAAATACAAAAATTAGCCAGGCGTAGTGGCGTGCACTTGTAATCCCAGCTACTTGGGAGGCTGAGGCAGGAGAATCACTTGAACCCAGGAGGCGGAGGTTGCAGTGAGCAGAGATCATGCCACTGCACTCCAGCCCTGGTGACAGAGCGAGACTCTGTCTCCAAAAAAAAAAAAAAAGAAAAAAAAAAAGAACCACTTGCCATATTTCACCGAAAAGAAGACCAAACCAAACAAAAATAATTATTGCATTTTTTATTGGGATTGCATTGATTCTATAGACCAATTGGCTTTTTTTTTTTTTTTTTTTTTGACAGAGTCTTGCTCTGTCACCCAGGCTAGAGTGGTGCAGTAGTGTGACCATAGCTCACTGCAGCCTGAAACTCCTAGGCTCAAGTGATCCTCCTGCCTCAGCCTCCAAAGGACTGGGGATGGGCACGTGTCACCATGCCTGGCTAATTTTTTTGTTTTTATTTTTAGTAGAGACGAAGTCTTCTGCCCAGGCTGATCTAGATCTCCTGGGCTCAAGTGATCCTCCCCCCTCAGCCTCCCAAAGTGCTGGGGTTACAGGCGTGAACCACCATGCCCAGCCCAATTGACATATTTAAAGTATTGCATCATAACTACGGCATAGCTCTTCATTTTTTCAGATCTCTTTCATTTACTCTCAATAACATTTATAGTTTTCTGTATAGAATCCTGAACAACTTGTTGGATTCATTCCTAGGCACTAAAGTATTTTTTGATGTCCTTATAAATGGTATTAAAAGTTTTTAAACTGCATATGTTACCTAGAAATACAAATTAGCTTTACAAATTAAACTTATAACCAGCAACCTTACTTAACTTACTTAAATTCTAATAATTTAAATTTTCTATAAAAATAATCTGAAATATTGTGAGGTTTGTTCTTTCAAATCATTATATATTTTATTTATTTTTTTCTTGAGTTAGTATATCAGCTAGGATCTTCATTAAATTATTAAGTGGTGATAGCACATCCTTGTCTTGTTCTCAAATTGCAGACCAATTTCTCCTTTAATTTCTTTCTATTTTTGTTGTTTCATTTTGAGGGCATGTTGTTGGATATATACAAGTTTAGAATTGTTATATTTTCCCAGTGAGTTGAAACTTTTTGTTGTTGTTATGAAGTGTCTGTCCTTATCTCTGGAATAGGAATAGGAAATATGTAATTGTAATTGTACTTTATTCTCTTCCCAGACAATGCAAGGACTTTAGAACTTTTAACTCCATTTCCTTCCCCAACTTCTATGTTATCATTTATTTTAATTCTGGATATATATGAGACTCTGTAGACATTATCCCTAATGCCGTTATAGCTACGCTTACTTTTATGGTTAGTATTTGCATGATATATCTTTTTCTATTTTTTTCTTTTCAAATTCTCCCTAGTCTTATGTTTTATATCTATTTCCTCTAACTAGCATATAGTATTTTTTTTAATTCAGCTTGACCATCTTTGTCGTTTAACTGGAACGGGGACATTTATTCAATGTACATTGTATTTAGAGTCTAATATACATACCATCTTGCTAGTTGTCATGCCTACTCTATGTATCACTTTCTCATCTTTCTATTCTTCTTTCAGACTGATGATGGTATTCTTTGTCATTCTTTAT
The DNA here is from genome assembly GCF_000001405.40 of Homo sapiens. NCBI lineage: Eukaryota > Metazoa > Chordata > Mammalia > Primates > Hominidae > Homo > Homo sapiens. The sequence goes on from NC_000006.12 coordinate 2,829,880, forward strand.
CAACCTCTAATGTAATTGTAATTTTACTTTATTCCCTTCCCAGACAATGCAAGGACCTTAGAACTTTTGACTCCATTTCCCTCCCCAACTTCTGCTATCATTTATTTTAATTCTGGATATATTTGAAACTTTGTAGACATCATTTCTGTTTTATATGGTCAATATTCATTTAAACTTATTATATTTACCAATTTTTCTTGCTCTTTTTTTGTTGTTGTTACAACTCTGACATTTCCTGTGCATAAAGAATCTCCTTTACACTTTTTCTCAGGGGAAGTCTGCTGATGGTGAACTTTCTCAGTTTTTGTCTGAAAATATCTTGAAGGATGTTCTTCCTGGGCATACAATAATTCTAGGTTGGCCAGGTATTTAGATTTTGTTTTTTCCAACATATTGAGAGAATCATCCTATGGTTTTCTGGCTTTTATTATTTCTGTTGACATATGTGTTGACATTGTAATCGCTGCCTCTTTAAAGGTACTTTGGCCTTTTCTTCGGTTGCTTTCATTTTATGATTTTTCCCTTAGTCTTTGGATGAGTGCAGTTTAACTAGGATATGTCTGGAGATGGATTTCTTTGTATTTTCCTACTTGGGGTTTGAGTAGCGTTTCCAAACTCTGTGAATTGACATTCTTTATCTGTTTTAGTATAAACATTTGAATGTTAGATTTTAAAATATGATTCTGATGCCAGGTGTGGTGGCTCATGCCTGTAATCCCAGCACTTTGGGTGGCCAAAGTGGGAGGATCACTTGAGGCCAGGATTAGACACCAGCCTGAGCAAGATGGCGAGATCCTGTCACTGGAAAAAATAAATTAAAAATTAGTCAGGTGTGGTGACACACTCCTGTGGTCCCAGCTACTTGGGAGGCTGAAGTGAGAGGATCACTTGAGCCCAGGAGTTCAAGGTTGCAGTGAGCCAGGATTGTGCCACTGCACCCCAGCCCGAGAAACAAAGTGAGATCCTGTCTCTAAAAATTAATAATTAATAATAAGTAAATAAATATAATATGATTCTTCTCTATAATTTCTCTTCTCCCATTAAGCATCTTCTTATTGACTACCTTGAGTCTCTTATTGTCCCTTTTGCATTTTCCATTCTTTTGCCTTTTATCATATTAGTCTTCCTGGGAGAAACTATGAATAATTTCTTTGAACTTTAAAATTCACAAATTCTCTCTTTAGCCATCTAATTTTTTGTTAAATCTTATCTACTGAGTTCATTTATTATTGTATTTTTGAGCGCTGGAATTTCTGTCTTATTTTGATTCAAATATGCAGTGTCTCTTTTAAGTTTCCAATTATCTGCTGAAATGTTAAACCTTGTCTTTAATCATCTTGATCATAGAAAACAGTGCTCTTTTCTAGTTTGTGTGTGACAATTCTAATATTTGGAGCCCCTGTACTGGTGTTTCTATTGTCTATCTTTTGTGCTGGTTTTAGTTTACATTGTCACGGCTCCTCAACTGTCCAATTACCTTTGATTATGTGCCGGATATCATATTATAAAAGCTGATGATAAACATGATTTGAGGTTTACGGGTAATTTTCCCCAAAATATGATTTTTGTTTGCTTCTGCAATGTGCCCCTGGGTAGCAGCAAACCAGGATGAAAATAATCTACTTCTAGGGATTGGAAAGTTCTGGGCTGTCCAATGACTTATAGCAGGGCTGCATTCTGAGCTGACTCTGTCATACTCATAGGGCATAGCTCTTAGGATGCCAAACAAAAGCAGAGGCAGTATCATGGCGCCCCCACTCTTGACAGGCTCAAACTCTGTCTACCACTTCTCATTCCCCTCTTCTGGACTGGCAGATGGCCCTGGGGCAGAAGTGGCCCCAATTTCCAGATTCACTTTTCTGAATTTCCAATTTGTTCTGGATCTTGGCCCAATAATTCTTTATGTTCAGATTAGCCCTCCCTTGCCTTTGGGCTGATGCTCGTTTTATTTGTTTGATTTTTAACTGACTTCAGAGGCCTGAGGTAACTATTTCACCATTACATAAATTAGATGCTCTCCACATAAAATACGCATTGGATTCTAGTCTCTGCCCTGGAACTCACCAATTGTTTTGACCTTCAACAATTTACTTATAGTCTATAGGCCTGTTCCCTCATATATAATTTGAGCGGGCTCACTTGGGCCCCTACAATTCAGTTTCTACACAATTAACATGATTTACTCCAAATCAGAGTGGATTTTAGGATGAGGAACCAAAAGAGAAGACTTACAGAAGGCAGAGTTTTTCCTGAGAGTGAGAAAACCTGGAATATGGTAAGTATTTTAAGAAAGCGGGAGAAAAGAAAGTTTGTTGGCAAAAGAGTTGCTAAAATTTTGTTGTTAACATGTGGAATTCCTCTCTACCAACAATGTTGTAAGGCCAATAATCCCCACTTGCAGTCTTAACTTGTCTAGGGATAGGGGGCAATAAGAAGAGGCCTGAGACCAGTCTAGCTTGCAGAATCCTAGGACGTTTTATTAATTCATGATGCCCACTATCCTTGTGGGAGCAAGAATATGCGGCGTTTCAAGCTCCATTCAAAGAACTACATTTGACAAAGTTTTATATCAGTCCAAGAGCCCCCACCCCATCTCCCCACACAGCCTTGGAAGTCAAGAGCCTTAATCAGAAAACACATGAGAAGGCCAGGCATGGTAGCTCATGCCTGTAATCCCAGCACTTTGGGAGGCTGAGGTGCGCGGATCACCTGAGGTCAGGAGTTCGGGACCAGCCTGGCCAACATGGAAAAACCCCATCTCTACTAAAAATACAAAAATTAGCCAGGCCTAGTGGTGCATGCCTATAATCCCAGCTACTCAGGAGGCTGAAGCAAGAGAATCACTTGAACCCAGGAGGCAGAGGTTGCGGTGAGCTGAGATCGTGCCACTGCACTCCAGCCTGGGTAACAGAGCAAGACTCTGTCTCAAAAAAAAAAAAAAGAAAGAAAGAAAGAAAAAGAAAAAGAGAAAAGAAAACACATGAGAAGGTGGCTAACAGTAAAACCTTTGTTCAGCAGTTTATCTTACTACATGGTTATTTTTGTAGACTCTTGGTATCTTTTATCCTAAGACACCCACTTCTTGATTTCATGCAGCGCCACATGAACTATATATTATACATAAAGAAGAACAAAAAAGGGAATGCAGGTTATAACCATTGGCCCTTTAATTGAAGAGTCTAAAAACTAGAGGTCTGTAACAGAATACTAATCCTGCAGAACAAGGGACAGAAAAGTCAGGCGAGGCAAGCTTGTCTTCGTAACCTGGGCTCTCAATTGGGGTGCTCTCTTACATTTCAATTGAATATCTGTTTTTAAACCTCCCTTCAACAGTCAGGGTGTCTGTCTATTTTGTGGCTTCCAAAATTCTAACTGCAAAATAAATGACCATCTTATCATGTTTTCCCATGGCTATCAGGAGGATATAGCAATTTTATAGATTACTACATGGTCAAGAATCTACGCATCGGATGTATTCTTTTCTTCTTCTTTACTTGATGCATTCAAAAGCAACCACTGGATTTTTTTCAATGTAAAAAAGAAAAATAGATACCCATGCCAAAATTCATGGGTGTAAACAGCCAACAGAGCCAAACTTACAAAGAAAATGAAAGACTTGTTTCTGAACAGTGGTTTTATTGGTAAAGATATAAGACATATTGGCTCTATTAAAAACTCAGGTAATAAAGCACTAAGCTTGATTTTTGTATTGCTACAGTCTCTTTCTTCTAAGGGGAAGAAAATCTCCCCAAGAATAGGATGCTACCTGAGGAATTATGCCGAATAAAGAAAAGGAATGGATGGTCGGCAGTGAAATTTTCTTCGGGCATCAACATGCAGAAAGTTGCGATGCCTGCTGTGGCAGCTGCCGCCTCTGTTCCCTCTTCATTCACTTCCACAAATGACTTGTGGACAATTTTTGATATAAAAATATCTCTGGCTCCTGACATGCCAGACAGATCAGCCTTGCTACTGTTAAAGAGATCCTGCACACCTAGGCGGGCGAGGTCGGAGTTGAGAGTGTAACTCTCTTCCAGTTTGAACCTGGGCAAGCTGACATTAACTTCAATGAAATCGAGATTCTCAGGTTTAGTCCACTCATGCAACTTTTCCAAAGTCAACTGTTCCTCAATCTGCAATTAAAAATGAGGCGAAAGAGGAAGTGATATCAATTTTACATAAGTAAGGCAATAAAGTATTATTGAATCAATGGACCCATAATATCAGTTGCTAGTTAGTTTCCTTCATGTTTTGTGCCAAAACAGATTCCATTTGGAGCATTTTATTTCATTATGGCAATTGGTGAAATAGGGCAGAGGTGGTGTTCCAAGTCATCAAAGGTTCAAGGGATTTGTACATTGGGTCCATCATCCACTCACCCACCCATCCACCCATCCATCCACCCATTTGTCCACTCATCCATCCATCCATCCATCCATCCATCCATCCATCCATCCACCCAGCTACCCAGCAACACAGCCACCCATCCATCCATCCATTTATTCACCTATCTACCCACCCACCCATCCAACCATCTATCCACCTATTCATCATCCATCTACCCATCCACCCATCCATCCATCCATTCACCTATCCACCCACCCACCCATCCAACAATCTATCCACCTATCTATCATCCATCCACCCATTTACTCATCCACCCATCCACCCATCCATCTACCCATTCATCCATCCATCCATTCATCCAGGGTTTACTAAACCCCTACCACAATGGATTACAGTGATAGGTCATGACAGCTGCTATTACTTCCAGGTTGAGTAGTGCTAGAAGAAATTTAAAATATTTCTTCTATTTAGTCTGAATCCCACTGAAGCTGAAGTAATATCTAATAACTTTAGCTCCTAGGTAAAAATTTTAAAGGCAGATTATGCACTGGAGCTAGTTCCTCATCTGAAATGTGATGTGGACATTACTTATATCTACCTTATAGATTGTTGAGAGCATTAAATGAAATGATGTATATAAAGTGCTTGGCCCATAGTGCTACATAAATGTCAGCTATTATCATTACTATTGTTATAGCTATTGGACTGGAATAGAACCATCACTCTACTTCTTCTAATGGTGCTGATAATTCCTTTTAAGAGGCTAGAGATTTTCACTTTACAATCAGAAAAAAAACTAATGCAAAAATACAACCAAAAGAAAGGCCACATTGATTGTTATACAATGTATTAAAAGTCTGTACATGCAAATGATTAACATTAGACCCCCTTCCTGATAGCAAGGATGATGAATAGGTGGATAGGGAGGAGACGGAGAGCACAGAGCAGGCTAGAGTCCCTACATATAATGGAAACCTCATGCAAAGATCATACTAGTAAATAGGCCTAACATGTCACATGAGGCTTTTTCTGTCTTGTACCCATTGAAAATTTAATTCACTATCTATATGAATTGTGATGAGAACAAACAGTGTAATAATAGAATTTTATAGTACGTGATGAAGATATATGCTACACTATTTGGGGCTTTTCAATCTTTTTCCTCAGTAAAACAATCCTCATCTTACTGTAATTTCCTCTAAAGCTAATTCAAGAGCCTTTCCATGAGCTGCCACTAACCAGTATTATATTTAGTATAGATCTTTAATGACCCCATCACAAGTGTCCACTGAAAGTAGCTGGCCATCTTTCTTGAAAAATGAAACGTTAGCCGGGCACAGTGGCTCACAGCTATAGTCCCAGCTACTCAGAAGGCTGAGGCAGGAGGATTGCTGGAAGCCAGGAGGTCAAGACCAGCCTAAACAACATAGTGAGACCTTGTCTCTATAAGTAAATTTAAAAAAAAATTAACTCTGGGCTTTAGTGTAGTAAGTGTTGATGGGCTACATTTACAAAGGAATGACAAACTACTGGAAAATGCACCATCAGTGAACACTTAACAAGCACCTACCTACCATGCGACACACACATGCAAGAGGAACCACAAAGCATGAAGCCCAGGAGCCATACCTTCTTCAGGCCCGTGGACTCGTCCTCAATGTCATCCGGCAGCAGGATGACCATGCTGAGCTCCTCGCCTTGGTAAGGCAGTTCCAGCACACGGCACTTAAGGTCCTCGATGTAGCCATATGCAAATTTTTTCTTCTGATACATCATTTTCACAGTTTTTCTGTCTTTCTGAACAGTTTTAAAAAATCACTGAAATTATTCTCTGCATTCTTTTAGAGCAATGCATGACTCTGTACAGTTACCTCACCTCACCTTATTCAATCTGAATGGTGCATTCGTCGTGGCTTCTTTCATGAATTTATCCTTCCAGTTTCCCTTGAAATAGATGGCATTTACTAGCACAAGTTTGGTCATGTTATCAACCATGCCCGAAGCCAACAGTTCCGGAATTTTTCCTAAAAAAAAATCAAGTTAGCGTAAAAAAAATCCAAATCGGAATTCCAAATTTGAACTGACAATATATTAGCACGGAAATGCAATTCAAATATATAATTTCTACTTAATTTTCATTTAACAAGATATTAACTTAGGAAAGCCCTACTCACTAACATGTCTCTACTTTAAGTATAACAACCTGTGGGGCAGACAGACCAGGATGACACACAAACTTCCCACAAGGACCTGACATTTTAAACAAGTCAAATGTGCCGAAAGACAAAAGACAGGAAAATTCTCCTTTTCTGGACTGTATGATAAACAATGAGCCTTATTTTGTAACAACCATTCTTTTTTAGAAAAAAAAAATTCTTAATGAAGATATCTTTAGTCATCAGTAAATCACTTCTTCAAATCGCTGAGTAGATGCCTACTCTCACAAAAAAAGGTTTAAACAATATCCAAAAGGCAGAACAAGACCAAGCATGGTGGCGCACACCTGCAGTCCCAGTGCTTTGGGAGGTGGAGATGAGAAGATTCCTTGAGCCCAGGAGGTCAAGGCTGCAGTGAGCCACGATCGCACCACTGCACTCAAGCCTGGGCGACAGAGCAAGACTCTGTCTCTTAAAAACAAAAAACAAACAAACAAACAAAAAAACCAGCAGAACATACTCCATGGAAATAAAGGTCACCTTCGTGACCATAAGTATGGCTGGGAACAATTCCCATAATGGAAGACAGGTCTTCTGGAGTGGGTTGACTAATACAGGGCTATGTAAGAAGAGAGATGTAGCAAAGAAATAAATTGCACCCTAAAAGCAAGTCAGTCCCCACCTACCACAACTTTTTTACTGGACAAGATGTTGGCAAAAAATTTACAACCACAGTAGTTTGTGAATATTGATTTCAGGTATTTCCATGAAATTCCAGGACATTTCTTTCCATATGAGTATTAGGTAATTTTTGGCAGGCTGAATTCTCCTCAAAATTTTAATTCCTTTTTTGCTGTATTCAGTGTTGGTTTTAACTTTATTTTTTATTTTTTATTATTTTTATTATTTTTTTTACGACGGAGTCTCGCTCTGTTGCCTAGGCTGGAGTACAGTGGCATGATCTCGGCTCACTGTAACCTTTACCTCCTGTGTTCGAGAGATTCTCCTGCCTCAGCCTCCAGAGTAGCTGGGATTACAGGTGTGTGCTACCACACCTGGCTAAATTTTTTGTATTTTTAGTAGAGACAGGGTTTCATCATGTTGGCCAAGCTGGTCTTGAACTCCTGACCTCAAATGATCCGCCCGCCTTGGGCTCCCAAAGTGCTGGGATTACAGGCATGAGCCACCGCGCCTGCCAATGTTGGTTTTAACTTTGAAATGCAACTTTAAAAGTTTTGGGGAGCTGATGAGAAAAAAGGATTTAGCTGCTTGAGTTAAATCATGTTTAAGTTTCCACTCTGGTGAACTTCGAACATGTGAGAGCTGTCCAGCAACGTGCAGTGCAGACTTCACGCACCGGCAGCGTCCTCTGACTGTAACCACGATGTGCGCCAGGACTGTGGGAGCTGGGGAGGGAATAACTGCAGGTAGGGAAGGCGGACTGAGGAAACGAATGACATGACCAGCGCATAATGATTCCATTCTGCCCAGGCTCTCACCTTCTGTCTGTCCTTTGACCCACTGGTTTATGGTCTTCCTTGCATCTTCAGAGGCATGCTGAAAATCCACACTGGCCAGGTCAGCACCATATGTTTTCTGAGTCGAAACCAAGAACTCCTATTAAAAAAAAGGAAAAGGAAATATATATATAACTCCTACTACATATAGAAATTGTTTTCTAAAATCCCAAAAAGCAACAGAAATTGTCCTAAAAGGCTACAATTCCATGTAACACAAAATTTCTAACTCTTATAGTTTTTCTTATAGTAGTAAAAATCATTTAACATTAAATTTACGATCTTAGCCACTTTTAACTGTGCATTCCAGTAGTGGTAAGCCTAACCCTTATACTGTTGTTGTTATATAGAAATTACCACTCTTTTCTGAACTTTGACTAAGATTTCACAAACACTGATTGTACTCTTGCTTCAGTAAAACCTCCAAGAGCTATCTTTTCACTAAAAAGACTGTAACACAAAATCACCATGTCAATTAAAGTTTGCATTCTGTCGTGTTTGCCTTCCATATTGTTTTTGCCATGTTTGCCTTCTGTATTGTTTTTCTGAAAGTTTACAAATATTAAAACTGACCTCCATGACTTGATTGTGCTGGAAAATATCTGCACTGTCTAGTGGGGTTTTAGAATGTGAAGGGCAAAGTACTTACAGGAAGGAAATTGTAAGTTTTCTCTCCATATAATCTATTAGCAAGTTTCAGAATATAAGACGCTCCACGTTTGTTGATATCAGCATTCAGACTCTGGAATCTTGAATGAACCTCTTCAACCGTGTTGAAATGGAAAGTCTAAAATAAAGAAAATCTTCTTTCTACAACCATTTATTTTGAAACTATAAAGTGATTCCTTGGTGTTTCCTTCTATCACATTAAATTAATGTGTTTTTATTACTAATTATTGATGATCCCAAACCCAATACTTTATTAATTTGTCATTGCAGAACAAACAATAGGAAATCCAAAATTTATGGCTTCGTGAGACAGAATGTTTACAACTTTACACATTGCTTTTACATCACTCTTTGTTACACTTGCAGTTCCACAAATGTGGGTGGTTAAGATACTAAATATTTATATATAAGTCTGCCTTTTCCAAAGAAAATAATAAATGGTATGTTCATATTTATATTCTGTATCAAATATAATTTTACTGAAAGTTCTCAGAAATAAGCAGTAAAAATAGGATTCATCCTCTATTCAGAACCACAAAGATAGTACAGACTGAAGCTTTTAAAATTTTATTACCCTATTAACATCAGTAACTCACTTATTTTAAAATAACTTCCTTAAACTTAACATTCTGGCAAAAGTTTAATTCCCCATGTATCAGTTACAAATCAAGAGGCCCTTTGTGGTTTTATGAGACCTAGGCTGGTTCCTTTATGATTAAGACACAAAGAACAAAATTGCATAGGGTACGAAGTCCACATTACTCACCGAGATATGGAATGTTTGCACTGTGCCTATGCTCCATCTGCTTTAATGGAAATGGGGGAGGAGTCCTTAAAACTATTCTTTGCTGAGGTTTTAAAGTCCCTGGAAAACCTCAAGCTAGGAACTGATATAACCCTGCAAGAAGCAACTAACAATTAGTAACAGAGGTTTTTTTTTTTTAATGGATTTAAAAAAAACATTTAAAATGCTTTCATATCTAAAGTGATGAGTAATAGAAGTTTCGCAGCCCCTTGAACTTGAATCCCAGGCTGCACCTTGCCAAGGAACAGGTGCAGTGTAATTTGCGGCAGGTATGTTAGAAGAGCCTCCACTTTTACCACTCCTTTCTGCTGAGCTTAGAGAGAGAGAGCTAGAGTTCTCTTCTCAGAATTAAAGAGTACCAAGCACAGAAGTCCTCTCCATGTCCATTATGGACAAGAAGGAAGGCTGGGCATGAGAGTGACCTGTCACATCGCCAAGGGCTGGGTCCCGCCCCTGAAGCTGCGGGTCTCCCCCTCACCTCCCCTGCAGGGCGTGCTATGCCACAGCCCACTGAGCCATGCGCAGCACCCTGGGACTACAGAACCACAGGGTCACTTTTTCTCTTTTCCTTGCAAAAAAGCAATGCCACTATCTCCACTATAATGCATTCCCTATGTCTTATTCCTCTCATTATGCTTGAAAGTAGTGTTATATAACAGGCAATATTTATGAGTTGCATATCATCATATGCAAAGCAAAAACTGGAAGATGCTAGCTCAGGAGGATGTAGTATGCCTTTCAGGAAAGCTGTCAGATTCATCCACTGGAACAGAAGCCTCGCCCTGCAGGGATTTTTGTCAGCTTTGCTCACTGCTGTCTCCTCAGCAATACGAAAAACAGTTCCTGGTACGTGGTAGGTACTTAGGAAAAACCTGATGATGAATGGAAGCCTGCATACAAGTGTGACTTTTCTGAAAGTCTGATCTCATAAAAATACAGTTCTGAAAACACAAGGTAAGAGCTCAAAGGCACAACCTTTCCATGCAGACTGTCCATTCGTAGGGAGATGGGAGGAAAGCAGACCCTTTTTTTTGTTTCTGCTGACCTTGGACAGCTGTGCTGCCGTGTTACCTCTGGTCCCCAGAAAAACCATGGCCATAGCAGATGAAATGCTGAAGGGAGAGATGAAGATGTTTCCAGCCGGATTGTTCTCACTCAACGCCAGGAACAGGTCCAAGGCGAAGCGGGTGTTTGCTGAGCTCAGCTGCTCCATGGTGAAAACTGCAACACAGAACAGGGTCCTCATGGTGCCCACTGCCCACGCCAGCAGATTAGGCAGCACTATTTCTCCAGAAGCTTCCTCAATTTCTGCCAACCGCCCTGAGGCATCCTGGATCTTGTACTTTCTCCCCGCTTTTTTATTCCAGCAGGGCAAGAACACTTTCCCAGGCCCACAAATGTGGGACCATTCTGGCCAAGGACTCAGCAGTTATAGGGGATTTTAGGGCACCCAGGGTGCCCTAAAGGGCTCTGACCTTGCAGACAGGTGAGTCTGGGGGTGGGGCGGGGGTAAGGCAGGCCCCAGCTACCCCAGCTTTAGTGGGGTGGGAGGGCCCACCCAGCCCTGGGTCTTCCCAACCTATGTGTGGGAGCGCACGTGCTTCTGAGCCTTTGATTCAAGTCTCTGATTCATTGGGCAATGAATCCATTGCCTACCTTCACCTGAACTAAGAGCCTTCTATCAGAGACTCAGCTACCTACTATGCATTAAAACTCCAGCAAAGGTATCACTGTAATTATTATAATAATATAATTCTTCCTTATTTTTGAGGTTCAAAAGGTATGAGGTCCAGTGCCCACAGTCTCAGAGCCGGTGTAGGATGTGCCAGTTTGGAAACCCACCACAGTCCAGGGTCTGGCCGTGCAGCGTCCCATCCGCCACCCACTAGCCCATCTCGATCTCCACTCTCAGAGCCCTGATTTCCCCCGAGGACAGGCAAAGAAGAACCGTGCTGGCTGCTCGGCATGTAAGCACAAAGCTGATTTCTCCTTGTTGTGAAATCGTCTCTAGAATCGCACGGGGTTCCTCCTCTCTCTCCCTGCAGCTGCAGATAGGAGCCGCGGCCTGGCCCTGGGCTGCCTGGAAACCGTCACAAACAGCTCTGGGAGGAAGGGAATTCAGGGAGAAGGGACAACATTCTGATCTCAGGTTTCAGTCTTGCCTTCCGCCTGCATCTGTCGTCCTCCCTCCCTCCCTCCCTCGCGGGCTGGCCCGGCCTGTACCCAGGCGGGGGCGGGGGATCAGAGGTCGTCTGTCTCCGTCGGGGCGCCCGGAAGGGATGGGGGCGCGAAGCTGGCGGGGAGGGCGAGCGCAGGGAGCTGCGGGTCTGAGGGGCCTGAGCCTGGGGGGTGGGGGGTGCCGGGCTGGAAGCTGAGCGAGGGAGCCTGGCCTCTCCCCGCGCCCGCCCCCGCGCCACCGCTCCGAGGCCCGGCCTTACCCGACAGGCCGCCGAGGCACGCTCCGGGCTCCGAGCTGGGTGCGAGGTCAGGAAGGAGGCACCGAGGGCCGCTGCTCTTATAGCAGGCGGAAGCGTCACCCGGGCCAGCAGCCGCGGGCGGGGCGGCGGCCCTTCCCGGTGACTGCGTAGGAGTCCGAGCTCCCGAGGTCGCCTAAGTGCAAGCAGAAGTGAGCGTGGCTTCCGGGCAGCGCCCTCCTCAGGGGCGCGGCTTCTTTCTCAGTTCAAAGCCTTTCCCCGAATCTCTGGCAAGGACCTGAAAAGCTTTTTCTTACTAAGGTGTGAATGACTGAGACGACATATTGTGACACCTCTTAGAGGGCAAATGACTCCCTTTGAGTCCCATCTATATTGGGAGCTTTCTTTGAGAGAAGGAAGCAAATTTGGGGATCTTGCACAGGGAAAAAGAGGGGCCCCCAGAATCAGATGAAACAGAACCAGTTCCAAACACCTGCTCTCTGTTTCCAAGATGACAGCTTGCTGCTGCGTCCTCAATGGTGGAAAGTGGAAGGGCAAAAGGGGCCAAATCTCATGTGAAGTCTCTCGTATAAGGGGCCAATCCCATTCATGAGGAAGGTGCCCTCATAATCCAGTCACCTCCTAAAGGCACCACCTGTTAGTATTGCATTGAGGATTGTTTCAGCATGAATTTTGCAGGGAACACAGACATTCAAAGCATAGCATTCTGCCCCTGCCCTCCAAATTCATACCCCTCTCACATGCAAAATGCATGCATTGTATCCCAGTGGCCTCCAAAGTTCCAGTATCAACTTTAAAATGTAAGTCCAAAGTCTCACCTAAATATCTTCTAAATTAGAAAGGCATAAGATTCAAAGTACAATTCATCCTAAGTGAAATTCCCCTCCAGCTATGAGCCCGTGAAATCAAATAGGTTACAGGCCTTCAAAATACAGTGATGAGACAGGCATAGGACGTACATTCCCATTCCCAAAGGGAGAAGCAGGCAAGAAGAAAGGAGTATCTGGTCCCAAGTAAGTCCAAACCCAACAAGGCAAACAGCATTAAATCTTGGGGCTTCAGAATAATCTTCTTTGATGCTGTGTCCCCCATTCCGAGCACAGGGGGGTGGAGACTGGGTCCCCTAGTGTCCAGGGGATCCACTCCCATGGATTTGCCAGGTGCAACCCATGCAGCAGCTCTCACAGGTTGAGGTCTAGGCTCTCCCAGGATAGACTTGCATGCTGGTGGCTGGACAGTTCTGGGTTCTCAGGGACAGCCCTGTTCCCACAGCTCCACTAGATATTACTCTATTTGGGGCTCTCTGCAGTGGCCCCAATCCCACTGCTCCACTAAACATTGCCCTAGTGAGGGTTTTCTGCAGCAGCCTCACCTCAGTGACAATTCTCAGACTGGGCCCCCAGGGTCCCCAACACATCCTTCAAAATCTAGGTGGAGGTGGCTGTGTCTCCACAGTTCATGCACTCTGTGCACCTGCAGAGTTAGCATCACGTGGACTCTGCCAAGGCTTACAGGAAGGGTGGCCTGACAAGGGCCTGCATAAGCCACACGTGGGATGGTGGCCAAAGAGTGCTGCACCAGAATGTGGGGGGTGGGGGGGCAGAGACTTGAGGCAGCCCTAGGCAGCAAGCCCCAAGGTTCCATGGTGTCCTGAGTCCTCCCTTAAAACTATTCTGCCCTCAGGGTCCTGGCACTCTGGGACAGGGATGAGAATCCAGAACCAGTAACCTCAGAAATGCCTTTGGGTTCATTCTTCCATTGTCTTGATAAATAGCATCTGGCTTCCTTCTACACATACTCATCTCATTATCAAATGTGAACCTGGCAGCACTCTTGGTGTTCCCTCCCAAACATGCCTTTTCATTCTTTACATGGCCAGGCTGAGAATTTTCCAAAACTTTAAGCTCTGCTTCCCTCTTGATTATAAACTTCGTTTTTAATTCATTCTCTCTGCTCACATTTTACTACAAGCAGTCAAGAGAAGCCATGCTGCACTCTCAACGCTTTGCTCAGAGATTTCTTCCATCAAATATCCTAGTTTATTGCCTTTAAGTTCTGCCATTCAGAAAACACTAGGACATAGACACAATTCAGCCAAGTTCATTGCCACTGTGTAACAAGGATGACCTTTCCTCCAGTTTCCTTTTAAGATCTCATCAAAAGTGTCTTTACCATCTATACTTCTAACCGCATTCTGATCAAGACCAGACCACTTAATTAATCTCTAAGATGATTTAGGCTCTCCCTACAGCTCTCCTTGTCTTCTGAGCCCTCACCCTTAATTTCCCTTAAAGCTCTGTTTATGTCTATACAGGCTTTTTCCAGCATGCATCTCCAAATTCTTCCAGCCTCTACCCATTACTCAGTTTCAAAGCTGTTTCCACATATTTAGGTATTAGTTATAGCAACATCCCATTCTCAGTATCAATTTCTGTCATAGTCCATTTGTGCTGCTATAAATACCTGTGATTGGGCAATTTATTAAAAACAGAAATGTATTGCTCACAGTTCTGGAGGCTGGGAAGTCCAAGAATAAGGCATCCACATATTTGGTGCCTGGTGTGGGCTGCTCTCTGCTTCCAAAATGGCACCTTGTTGCTGCATCCAAGGGGGAAATATACTGTATCTTCACGTGGCGGTGGGAGGGATGGAAAGGGATGAACGCACTCCCTCAAGGGCCCAAATCCCACCCATGACGGTTCTGCCCTCATGACTTAAGCACTTCTTAAGGCTCTACCTCTTAATACTATCACATTGGTGATAAAGTTTCAACATATGAATTTTGGGGAGACACATTCAGCCCATAAAACATCTGTTCTGTCAGGTGAGGACACAGCATTTGTCCCTTCTGCCTTTCCCACCAAATGAGAACACCGCAAGAAAATGCCCTCATCAGACACTGAGTCTGCACCTGCAGATCTCGAACTTCCCAGCCTTGGACTTCCCAGCCTCCAGAACTGTAAGAAATAGGTGTCTAGTGTTTACAAGATGTTTTGATAAAGCAGCAGGAAAAGACTAAGACAGGGGCTCTTCTTGAGAAGCCGGCCTTGTTCTTATCCCTCTTGTCTAGGAGAAATGTGTGGACACGGCCACATTACTGCCCCCGAGTCTTCCTAGCCCATCTCATCCAACAATAATATGGAGAAGTGTCAGTCTCCTAAGCGTTTTTCCTTATTCTCCTCCACCTTGAATTATTCCTGAATTATTCCTCCTGCCTCCAGCTCCTGAAAGTAGAACTTAGACTTTTTCTGGCTCTTCAAACGAGCTGCTACTGATCACCCAGAACTCTCAGAAGCATCTTGAGAATTTTTTTCTTCACTCTTCAAGTCATTTTGAATTAGCTTGTTTTCTTGTTCAGTTTAAGAAACTGCTATTAAGTGAATTGTGACACTTTTAATAAACTTGCAGCATGGTGAAATTAAAAGTCTCACAATAGCGTTTTGTAAATATGTTAAATATAATTCTTGTGGGTAAATTATTTCCATGTTGTGCTCGCTGGGTAATATATTTTATTTTAGGTACTAATATATTTTATTTTATTTTATTATTTTATTTAGGTAAAATAAAATAATATATTTTCTTTTAGGTAATTTATTTTAGGTGATTTATTTTAGGTAATATATTTTATTTTATCCTCAAAAGATAAAATGTATAGTAATCCACTAGCAGTTCAGCAACTGGAAATATTTTAAACTCAAAAAAAGCAATTTTTGTGTGCCATAGCCTGTATTTAGTATAGCAAAGGAGAAATATGAAAATAATTATTACATTTGTTTTTAATAAATAATTTTTTGAGCCTGGGCAACATAGGGAGACCCTATCTCTAAAAAACTTTAAAAATTAGCTGGGTGTGGTGGTACACACCTGTGGTCCCAGCTACTTGGGAGGTTGAGGTGAGAGGATCACTTGAACCCAGGAGTTGCATGAGGCTGCAGTGAGCTATGATCGCGCCACTGCACTCCAACCTGAGTGACAAAGTGAGAACCTGTCTCAAAAATAAAAAACAAAAAACACCAAAAAACTAATTTGTAACTTATAAACACAACTAGAAAAATAACACAAAATCATTTTACAGATAATGTTTTCTTATAATAGTCTGAGAATTTTGGGTGAGACTAATTTCATGACAGTGAATAATTTTGGCCCCTGGACAGTGGTTGCAGATAACAAGACGCTTCCAGGAAAGTCTAAAATCATTTACATTTTCCTATCTTAGGCAGCTTACGTGATTGAAATGAGAGAAACAGATAAAATAATCTCTCAGGGTTTCTTCTTTTTTCTTTTCTTTTCTTTTTTTTTTTCTTTTTGAGACGGAGTCTTTTTGTGTTACCCAGACTGGAGTGCAGTGGCACGATCTTGACTCTGCTCACTGCAACCTCCGCCTCCCAGGTTCAAGCGATTCTCCTGCCTCAGCCTCCTGAGTAGTTAGGACTACAGGTGTGCATCACCATGCCCAGCTAATTTTTTGTATTTTTAGTAGAGACAGGGTTTCACGATGTTGGCCAAGCTGGTCTCGAACTCCTGACCTCAAGCAATCTGCCCGCCTCAGCCTCCCAAAGTGCTGGGATTACAAGCAAGCCACCGCGCCTGGCCAGGGTTTCTTTTAGTCCTTTCATTTTCTGCCAAATAATGGAAGAAACCTAGCATTAAAATTTCAGCTGTGTAACACAGCTTCATCCTCCAGAGGGCAGAATTCCATCATTTATAAAATACAAATCACTGGCTTCCGCTGAGACATAAATGCCAGGACATCACGTAATTTCTCCTTTTCAGTCCAGCTTGGTCCTCCTCACTGGGGTACCTAGAATGTCTATAATTTAATTTTCTCTTGCAAATATCCATGTAAGCAGTCCACTGGGGAGTTCCTCTGACCTCGCATCCTTCTTTCCCCCTCATTTCACCAGCTTCCTTTCAGTGTCTCACCTTAGAAGGCTCATTTTCTTTCAGGTCTTTGTCCCTGATATTGCCTCTTTCTAGATGACTCACCCCTTCTTCTAATTCTGGTCTCGGCTCAATGCCACCTCTTCCCTGAGACCTTCCCTGGCTTCTGTTCTCATCCCGAGTTACTTTCTGTTTGCTTTGTAGCCTCAGTCACCATCAGAAACTGGTTGCCTATCTCCTTCAATAGAACATAACATCAGGAGAATAAGGCTTTGACCCAGTTGTTCACTGCTGCGTCCCCAGTATCTAAAACACCTGGCATATAGTAGTTGTTTAGGAAATTTTGCTGAATAAGTGAATGAAGATTATAGCTCAGAACAAACCAAGCCATGTGGACAGATGATACAACATTGCTCAGTTCAGTTTCTTGATGAATGATAAGGAGAATAAAAAGCTCTCTAAACTGCATGGATAGAATAACTATAATTTGAATGAAAATGGAGCCCCAACAAGAGGAATTCAGGTCCCAGTATAAACAGCAAGATACAGGAAGCAAAGTACATGACAGAAACGATCTGCATGGCATAATCATGGTGCAAAAAAGTTTGCCTGGGAATTCAGAACGAAGAATGAGGCGTTCACCGAAGCCTCCGATTATTACTCTGAGGACAAGATAAACAAGAGTAAGCTTATATTGTAATAAAGGATTGGCCGGGCACGGTGGCCCACGCCTATAATCCCAACACTTTGGGAGGCTGAGGCGGGTGGATCACCTGAGGTCAGGAGTTCGAGACCAGCCTGGCCAACATGGAGAAACCCCGTCTCTACTAAAAATACAAAATTAGCCAGGCGTGGTGGTGTGCACCTGTAATCCCAGCTACTCAGGAGGCTGAGGCTCGAGAGTCGCTTGAACCCGGGAGGCGGAGGTTGCGGTGAGCCAAGATCGCGCCACTGCACTCCAGCCTAGGCAACAAGAATGAAACTCCGTCTCAAAAAAAAAAAAAAAAGGATTGTTAGCTGGCTATAAAAATGACCTAAAATTGCCAGGTGCGGTGGCTCATGCCTGTAATCCCAGCACTTTGGGATGGCGAGGCGGGTGGTTCATCTGAGGTCAGGAGTTCGAGACCAGGCTGGCCAACATGGTAAAACCCTGTCTCTACTAAAAATACAAAAATTACCTGGGCGTGGTGGCATATGCTTGTAATCCCAGCTAGTTGGGAGGCTGAGGCAGGAGAATCGCTGGAACCCGGGAGGTGGAGTTTGTAGAGAGCTGAGACTGCGCCACTGCACTCCAGCCTGGGCAACAGAGTGAGACTCTGTCTCAAAAAAAAAGAAAAAAAGAAATGACCTAAAACTGTGGCTCACTTGGGAGGGAGGTCTCTCAAGGTATGCCACAGGGCTCTGCCTGTGTGTGGTCCTGTCTCACCCTCTCACAAACAACTTTGATGGAAGCATAGAGGGCCACAAAGAAGAAATTTTCGAATAGCACAAGCCTATTGCCGTGGATGACAGAATCAAGATTTGAAAGAACTCCACTAGGTGAAATGTCATCCCAGACCAGTATGAAGAAACGTAATAATGACGATATAGATGCTTTAAATTTAGATTTAAAAAAAATCAATTCTGCCAATGCCAGAAGTGGGAGGCCTATTTTAGTAGCACTTCACATGAAGAAAAATCTGAAATTTTAACTGACCACAAAGTCAATATTCACCAATATGGCGAGGAAGGTTTTAGCACTGGTAGAAGCATAAGCAGCCACATCCAGTAAGGGGGTAGGGGCCATGCCCCACACTCTGGCCTGACCTGTTTAGAGATGGCTTTCAGATGTGGGTGCCACCCATAGTCAGAGGGAGATGAGGGTGATATTCTGTGGCAGAATTTCGGAAGGAGTTGGATTTTCTTCATTCAGAGGATAAGACTCCGAAATGAGAGAAAACCATCAGGTAGATCTGGACAATACAATACGGAAATTGGAAGGAAGCTTTTGTGGCAAGAGGACCTGGGTCTGAATCCCAGTGCAGCCTCTTACTGGGTGGGTCCTTGAGGTGAATTTCTCATATCGTCACAGACCCAGCCGCATCATCTATGATTGGAGATAGAAATGGCAATCTCCTAAGGTTTTTGGGTAGATTAAATGAAATGTCTATAAAGGTTAGGATCAATCGAGATACAGTCCAGAAGGTGGTTAAGAGCATTTGCCTCCCCTGTAGTACACGTGCAGTAACTGGTTGTTGGAGCTCAGGCTGCCTAAGTGTGTTTCAGGTATGGCAACAGGAAGCTGAATGCAAATGAGAGCACGTCCCAGGAGCCACAACCTCTAGCCCCACCCACTAGCGACGCACAGCACAATTCGCGACAGACACTTACCAACCAGTAAGACTGGATGAGAGACAGACCAGAATGCTTGTTCCAACACACCTGGGTGAGGAACACCTAGTCAACCTTCCACAAGTGTAGGTGCCGTCGCATGGAGCACTGTGTCATGGACAGCAGGCTGCTTCTGCATGGCTCTGGGGACTAATGTGGATGTGTCGGAAGCAGTGTGATGTCCAGAACTTTCTCATACACAGACGGGAAGCCCTCCATGGAAACGCGATGCTCGTTTTTGTCACCGAAGCCAACTTGATAATCTACTCAGGGATAGTGAAGAGGAAATTTCTACTTTGGACCAAAGAATGCATGAGTTAACATCAAAGTTCTAAATGTTGTTCTTAATTCTAAATTGTCTATGAATTCAGCAAGTTGGGCTACATTTTTGTAAGGAACCCGCAACAGCCCAGCACTCTGGACAGGTTCAAGGGACAAAGCAGTGGCAGAGGCATCTGCTTTTTAAAACACCTGGGGCCAGGCGCAGTGGCTCACGCCTGTAATCCCAGCACTTTGGGAGGCCGAGGCAGGTGGATCATCTGAGGTCAGCAGTTCGAGACCAGGTTGGCCAACATGGTGAGACCGCCCCCACCCCGTCTCTACTAAAAATACAAAAAGTTAGCCGGACGTGGTGGTGCACGCCTATAATCCCAGCTACTCGGGAGCAGGAGAATCGCTTGAACCCAGGAGGCAGAGGTTGCAGTGAGCTGAGATCATGCCCCTGCACTCCAGCCTGGGCAATAGAGTAAGGCTCTGTCTCAAAAAAATTAATTAATTAATTAATTAAAAAAAAAAATATATATATATGTATATGCACCTGGGAGCCTTGATGTAGGACTCTGTGTAACAGCTGCATTGTAGGGGATGGCTCAGACCTGAGCTCCACACCAGGGTTCTCAGCTCCCACCCCAAGTGTTGACCTGGGGATCTGCCAGGGGACAGCCTTTGGGACCCTTTCCCCGACTCTTCTGACATTTCCTTTACAGGAAAAGCAGAGCAGAATATGTAACTCATTTCATTTCCTTAAGTACTCTCTCCTCAGTATATGTTTTTTAATAGTTTTTAATTTTTATTTTACTTTTTTGAGACCAAGTCTTGCTCTGTTGCCCAGGCTGGAATGCAGTGGCGTGATCTCAGCTCACTGCAACCTCCGTCTCCCAGGTTCTAGCAATTCTCCTGCCTCAGCCTCCCAAGTAGCTGGGATAATTTTTTGTATTTTTTAGTAGAGACAGGGTTTCGCCATGTTGCCCAGGCTGGTCTCGAACTCCGGACCTCAGATGATCCACCCACCTCGGCCTCCCAAAGTGCTGGGATTAGAGGTATGAGCCACCGCGCCCAGCCTGTTTATGATATTATGAATTTCAAGGCTACTTAGAGTTTCAGTAAGTTATAGCTAAAATGTAAAAATTTAAGTCCTCTTTTTTTTTCTTTCTAGAGACAGAGTCTTTTTCTGTCACCCAGGCTGGAATGCAGTGGTGCCATCATAGCTCACTATAGCCTGGACCTCCTGGGCTCAAGTGATCCTTCTGCCTCAGCCTCCTGAGTAGCTGAGACTACAGGTGTACATGCCACTGTGCCTGGTTAATTTTTTTTTTTTTTTTTTTTTTTTGTAGAGACAGTGTCTTGCTATGTTGCCCCAGCTGGTCTCAAATTCCTGTGCTCACGTGATCCTCCCACTTCGGCCTTCCAAAGCACTAGGATTACAGGCATGTGTCAGCCACTGTTTCAGGTCCCTATACTCATTTTAAAAGAGAGAGAGAGAGGGACAAATAAAAGTTAGCCATGTAAGCAGGAATGAACTCAGTGCCCAATCCCTCTCCCCTCTGCAGAGGTCGGGTGGGGCTGAACGTTCTAGCCCTTTAAATATGGACTTGATCTCTCTGGCATGGCCAGCCCCTCTCTTGAAGCTCTCTAAAGGCCCACTTTGAGGCACCTCACTGGCATAAGCTCAGGCATGGTCAGAAGGAGCGCTTTACAAATAAACAGACATCCTTATCACTCAGGAAATTCCAGGAATTTTTGAAGCTCTGTGCCAGGAACCAAGGACTAAGACCAAATATATTTTTATTTTTATTTATTATTTATTTATTTATTTATTTTTTGAGATGGAGTTTCGCTCTTGTTGCCCAGGCTGGAGTGCAATGGTGAGATCTCTGCTCACTGCAACCTCCACCTCCCAGGTTCAAGGGATTCTTGTGCCTCAGCCTCCTGAGTAGCTGAGATTACAGGCACCCACCACCACGTCCGGCTAAGTTGTTGTTTTTTGTTTTTGTTCTTGTTTTTTTGAGAGATGGAGTCTTGATCTGTCACCCAGGCTGGAGTGGAGTGGCGGTATCTCGGCTCACTGCAACCTCCACCTCCCGGGTTTGAGCGATTCTCCTGCCTCAGCTTCCCAAGTAGCTGGGACCACAGACGTTTGCCACCACTCCCAGTTAATTTTTGTATTTTTTTAGTAGAGTTGGGGTTTCACTATATGTTGGCCAGCCTGGTCTCAAACTCCTGACCTCAGGTGATCTGCCCACCTCGGCCTCCCAAAGTGTTGGGATTATAGGCGTGAGCCACCGTGCCTGGCCAATTTTTTGTATTTTTTTGTAGAGACGGGGTTTCACCATGTTGGCCAGGCTGGTCTTGAATTCCTGGCCTCAGGTTATCCGCCTGCCTGAGCCTCCCAAAGTGCTGGATTACAGGCATGACCCACCAAACCCAGCCCAAATATATTTGCATATATATATATTTTAATATCCCACGCCTACACTCTGGGATAACTCAGCTCTTACAGGCAGTAATCATGGGTCAGACCTGCCATTATCCAGTTCAGCCCATTTCATTTGACAGACACCTGGTGAATAGAGACATGCAGGGACTCTTGTCCACATTTGCCCAGTTGGCTGATAGCACAGTGTACAAAGTCTGTCTGCAGCAGGTCATAATTTCACAGCTCTGCCACATGCATGTATATCACTGTACCAAGCGTGTTCACATGGTATGGTGCTGACACATGTTGACGGAATGTGGTACAGACCCTCTGTGTGAAGTGTGTTCACACAGTGCGGTGCTGACCCTCTGTATGAAGCGTGTTCACACGGTGCGGTGCTGACTCTCTGTATGAAGCGTGTTCACCTGGTGCAGGACAGACTCTCTGCATGAAGCATGTTCACACAGTGCGGTGCTGACCCGACCCTCTGTATGAAGCATGTTCACACGGTGCAGTGCTGACTCTCTGTATGACACATGTTCACACAGTGAGGTGCTGACCCTCTGTATGAAGCATGTTCACGTAGTGCAGTGCTGACTCTGTATGAAGTGTGTTCACACAATGAGGTGCTGACCTCATGTATGAAGCATGTTCACACAATGCGGTGCTGACCCTCTGTATGAAGCGTGTTCACACGGTGCGGTGCTGACTCTCTGTATGACACATGTTCACACAATGCGGTGCTGACCTTCTGTATGAAGCGTGTTCACACAGTGCAGTGCTGACCTTCTGTATGACACATGTTCACAGAGTGAGGTGCTGATCTTCTGTATGAAGCATGTTCACATGGTGCAGTACTGACTCTCTGTTTGAAGTGTGTTCACATGGTGCAGTGCTGACCTGTATGAAGGATGTTCACGCGGTGCGGTGCTGACTCTCTGTATAACACATGTTCACGCAGTGAGGTGCTGATCTTCTGTATGAAGCATGTTCACACAGTGCAGTGCTGACTCTCTGTATGAAGTGTGTTCACACGGTGCATTGCTGACCTTCTGTATGAAGTGTGTTCACACAGTGAGGTGCTGATCTTCTGTATGAAGCATGTTCACACGGTGCAGTACTGACTCTCTGTATGAAGTGTGTTCACACGGTGCGGTGCTGACTCTCTGTATGAAGCGTGTTCACACAGTGCGGTGCTGACTCTCTGTATGAAGCATGTTCACACGGTGCGGTGCTGACTCTCTGTATGAAGTGTGTTCACCTGGTGCAGTACAGGCTCTCTGCATGAAGCATGTTCACACAGTGCGGTGCTGACCCTCTGTATGAAGCGTGTTCACACAGTGCATGTGAAACCAGAACCGACAGTCGAACCCAAGCAGAAGTCTTGACCAAGCACTTCCCTCCTGGGAATGCACCATGATATCACCACACCGAAGTCCAGGCTGGCAAATAGGGACATTTAAGTGACATTTAAGCTCGTGGTGGCCCTATGAGGAGTCATTGCTGACTGAGATGGGATTTTAAGGTGTTGCCTGCCTGTGTGTTCTCAGACCCTCTCCTGAAGCCCCACCCCTTCCCCTGATCCTCTCCTGGGACCCCCCTCCCCTATCCCTGACCCTCTCCTGGAGCCCCCCTCCCCCCTCCCTGTCCCTCTCCTGAAGTCCCCTCCCCTGACCCTGTCCTGGGACCCCCTCGCCTTTCCCTGACCCTCACCTGAAGTCCCCTCCCCTTTCCCTGACCCTCTCCTGGAGCCCCCTCCCCTCTCCCTGTCCCTCTCCTGAAGTCCCCTCCCCTGACCCTCACCTGGGACCCCCCTCCCCTTTCCCTGACCCTCTCCTGGGACCCCCTCCCCTTTCCCTGACCCTCTCCTGGAGCCCCCTCCCCTCTCCCTGTCCCTCTCCTGAAGTCCCCTCCCCTGACCCTCTCCTGGGACCCCCTCCCCTTTACCTGACCCTCTCCTGAAATGCCCTGCCTGCACCATTGTCTTATATTTTTCTCATGGTTAGACTGGGGTTATGGTTTTTTCTGGGAAAGGCCACAGAGGTAAAGTGACATCTCATTGTGTCATATTCAGGGTCCATGCCATCAACATGACTCATCAGTGCTGACGCGGTGATGACCTGGGGGACGCAGTGTTTCTCAGGTTCCCCCACTGAGCCTCTGCAACTCCAGTAGTGACAAACCGCTCCACCCCCCGCCATCCATTTTCTTAATTGTTCAATTGCTAGTATCACATTTCATCAAGAGACGCATAGCAGAGTCCAACCAAGACTCCATGATAGAGAAACCAGGCAAGAACTACTGTCTCGTCGCAACTTGAGGAGACAATATTTCTTGCCTGGTTTCCCTATCATGGAAACTGAGTCCCCCACAGTTTCGTTTCCTCAATCGAGCTAATTACTGAGGTTGCTTAGCAGCCTCCGGAGTGAGCACAGCGGAAACTATCATTAGGGAACTTTGAACGTTTCTGTGAAATGCCAACAGGAAATGTTTCGGCATTTTCAAAATATTTAGAAAATTCCCTGTTCAGTTACAAAAGTGAATCTGAATCTTACCCTGCAGAAGTTAAACTGCTCCCTCTTCTGGATAAAATTACCTTTGTAATTTCTTTTTACAACCTACAGCCTATTGTGCTTGGGTTTCCAAATGGTTTAAAGTTCCCTTGTCCCTTACTTTGTGTCAAGGGGGTGTTTGTGCCTTAAAGGGAAGATCCTGTGCCTTAAAGGAAACCAGAACTGATAGTCGAACCCAAGCAGAAGTCTTGACCAAGCACTTCCCTCCTGGGAGTGCACCATGATATCACCACACCGAAGGCCAGGCTGGCAAACAGGGATGTACACGCAGGGGAGACGAGAACTTCTCCCGTGAGAAACAGCACAGTCCAGCCATATGAACCCACAGCTCAGGAAGTATTGCTCACTTTTACTGTTCTCTCTTAGGGAAGGGCATTCTCAAAACGTTTCCGCACAAGCAGACCATCCCTTTTATTTTCCCCGTCTGTCTCCTTTCCTTCTGCTTTCAAAATGTCTCAAGAGTATTTACAAGAGTTGAGCAACACAGGCATCTTTATCTGGGGTCTTTATCCACAGAGCAGAGGACAGGAAGTCATCACTACAGAGACGAAGCGATGTATGGTTTGACCCAGTGGAGGACTTTGTTAAGGTGGAGGTGTGAGTGTGGAGTGTAAACGTGGGACATCCAGGGCAGTGGAGGGTAACCACTGGAGAGGAAGTCTGGGGACAGTTTGGGAGCAGCCAAATATAAAATAAGCATTTCTGTTCTAAATCCAAATGAACATTCTACGCTGCTGTCATCTCCAGTATACCTCAGAGATCCTAAAGTTTCCTGAAGTTGTTTGGAAGTCACGGCCGATGTAAAGTGAAAGCGCACACATATCTGTAAGCTCTGAGCTCAGGATTTCACGTGAGGTCCTTTGTTCGGGAGGCAGGGGGGTTCTCCCTGTTGCTGGCTGAGGTCACTGCATTCATAGTGTGACAGGAGACAGCACAATACAGCAAAGCAGCTGGAGGGATTGCCTTGTAGAGTGGAAGACCTTCCGCAGAACAGAACGCTCTCTGTCCTGTTCTGCTGGAGAATGAAAAGGGATGGGTGGCCTGCGTGAAACCTCTTTATGGGGCTTGTGCGTTCTGACACTGTGACCGCCGAGGCCACAGCTGCCTTTGTTTCTTCCTCTCTGACCTCCATGAAGGGCTAGCGCACAAACTTGGACAGGGACGGCTCTATCTCTTGGGTGATATTCTGGAAAAGTCAGTCTTGACTTAGTCAAAGGCATCGGTAATTCCCCAACAGCTGAGAGCAGACTCCATGCTGCGGTTTTCTTGTAACTTGAATCGAGGAGACTTCCACATCTTTGCTATCCATTGCGCCTGGCTTTGTCCACTCGCTGACTTCTTCATATATAAGCTCATTTTCCACCTGGAAGAAAAGAGGAGAGAGCCTTAGGGCCCCAGCATTGGGTCCGCACCGAGGCCTACACTGCTCCCCCCATTCCCACCTAGGACCATGGCATCCCAGTCCTCTCTCCCTGTGGGAGGCTTTCACAGAGGTTCACATGGGCCCAGGCCACTATGATTTTCTGAGTCTCCTTGTTTAATAAAGAAAATGAAGTGCCAAATATTGTGGTATGTTTTAAAATTTTGTATTTAACAAGTGATCTTTCAAAAATGCAATGCAATCTAATTGCGCTATTCCGAAGTTAAGCATAGGATTTAGAAAACATTCTTATGGCATTTCTTTCATGGAACATGAGCTTAACTTTTATCATTAAAGTAATTTCTGTCCGTCTTTTCAGTGTATCTGTCTCTGTGACTCTAAGTATAGTAAGATTACTAGGAAATAATTTCAACATTTTAACTTTGAGGCCCTATGTGAGGCCCAAGATAAGCCCCACGCACCCCCATTCCCAGCCACAGGCTCTGCTGCCTGGCACCTCAAGGTCTGGACCCTGTACAGGGCTCCCACATGTCGACACAAGCTCCCATGTGTCACCTGTGCCTAGTAGAGAGGTGTATATTGCAACAAAAACTACAAATCAAAACAGGGCTGCAGCTCAAGAATCTTCAAGTTTCCTGTACCCCACCACTGGTTTAAGACAAGGATCAAGTTCATTTCAAGTAACTTATTAGTTACTAGTTAGTAATTGGTGGTAATTTCTTTTTTTTCTTTTTTTTTTAGATGGAGTCTCACCCTGTTGCCCAGGCTGGAGTGCAGTGGCACGATCTTGGCTCACTGCAAGCTCCACCTCCCGAGTTCAAGCCATTCTCCTGCCTCAGCCTCCCCAAGTATCTGGGACTACAGGTGCCTGCCACCATGCCTGGCTAATTTTTGTATTTCTAGTAGAGACAGGGTTTCAGCATGTTGGCCAGGCTGGTCTCGAACTCCTGACCTAAGGTGATCCACCCACCTTGGCCTCCCAAAGTGCTGAGATTACAGGCGTGAGCCACTGTACCCAGCCGATAATTTCATAGATTATCAGCTACCCTGCACATATTCATGTATTGCTTGTCAGTTGACAGGAAAGAGTCTTATCTTATTGGCCAAGAATTTAGCCGGCATCTTTGATCCCATCAGCAGTTTTGCACTTGATATTTGAGGAGTTTCAAAATGCTAGGAGGCTTTGATATTTTCTTTCACCTCAAAACGAAAATGAAACATGGTCCAAAAAGTTTGCGCTAAGACCAAATGGCCAGTGCAATTTGTACAAAGAGTTAACACTGTCCTTTTGGATTTTCAGAAAAAGAGCAAGTAACCTTTATGGAGACTGAAACCATAGCCATTTCCATGGAAGGTTGGGGCAAGAAGCCCTATTTTCAATTTGCTCACACAGAGGCTCTTCATGGGAAGGCCAGACTGCCATGGATGAAACATACAGCGGGGATGTATCCGAACACCGTCTCCTGGCCTGTGAAACAGACCAAGAAGTCCCCTTGGAGTTAGAGGGGCCTCTGTGAGCCCTGAGAGATGCTGCAGCCCAAGGAAGACATGGGAGGAGGCACTAAGCAGTGTCCCAGGAAGTCACATAAAGAAAACATCATTGGCTGCGCTGCTGCAAATCTGTGTCTGGGAGTTTGGGCCAGGGTGAGAGGGTCGCAGGCTCTGGGCGAGGTTTAGGAAGCAGGAAAGAGGAGTGGACCCGCTGGAAGCCAGAGGACAAGGTGGACGGGGTACAAGGAAAGGGGTCCGCCAAGGGCAGCCTGGGAGGACCCTCCTTGATCATGAAAAAAATGAGCAAACGGACACAAATGTCTTTTCAAAAAAGATGCCAAAGGTTGGCCTCAGCAAAGTCCCCTGAAGCATCCCCTTCTTGCTTTCCCTGAGAAGCTAGATTCTGCGTGTGGGGTGGGGCATCCGGACTTGGTGGCTTTCCTTCTGAGCTTTCCCCACCTGAGTCATCTGCAAAGGGCAAGGCTGCAGGCGGGAGAGGCCGGTGTGATGTGACCGCCAGCCACGGTCCCCACACCCCTCTCTGAGGGCTGTCCCCTCCACCTCATGCCATGACAGGAAACTTTATGACCTGTTCACTAAAAAATCACTTAAGGATTGGAAAGCACCTGTCTATAAATAAAGGCAAGGGGGCTGCCATTTTAAAATTGGGGGTGAGACTGGTCGTGTGCTCTCGAGTGGGCGGGGACTTACAGTAACTCAGAGGCAGGGCAGTTCAGGAGCTGTACATGAGCAGAGGCCCGGGTGCTTGGAGGCCGGCCAGCGTTGGTGGGCCTTCCTGAGGACAGGGTATTTGAGACATACAACAACAGACATAAGCAAGGTTATGATAAAGCTGCAAACCGTTTTCCTGTTTTCATGGGGGCGTAAAGCTAAAGCAGCACTGAATTAACTCTCGAAGTGGGAGGAGAGATCACTGTTGAGGCGGGAGAGGGGATATGGAAAAGTCTGCGTTAGGACTCAGCTGTGTCTGCCGCCAAGGCAAGGGTAACTAATAGATAACAGGCCTTAAGAATTGCTATCTTTGCTCCTCTTCCTGTCTCCCCCTCTCCCTCCCCCTCCCCCTTCCACCCTGTTTCTCCCTTCCTCTCACCCCCTCTCTGCTTCCTGTACTTTTTTTTTTTTTTTTTTTGAGCCAGAGGCTTGCTTTGTTTCCCAGCCTGGAGTGCAGTGGCGGGATCTGGGCTCACTGCGACCTCTGCCTCCCGGGTTCAAGCAATTCTCCTGCCTCAGCCTCCCGAGTAGCTGGGATTACAGGCACACGCAACCATGCCTGGCTAATTTTTGTAATGTTAGTAGAGATGGGGTTTCACCATATTGGTCAGGCTGGTCTTGATCTCTTGACCTTGTGATCTGCCCACCCCAGCCTCCCAAAGTGCTGGGATTACAGGCATAAGCCACCATGCCTGGTCTCTTCTTTCTTTCATCTGGCTTCTAGAAAAAGAAAGTTCTGCCTCAAGGCCTGGGAAAAATAGTTTGGTTTCATTTTGTTTTTCTCCAGCTGACAGTGGTTCTCTGAGTGAATGCCCCTTTCTCATGGCCCCACCTCTGTTTGACCCACCCTACCTCTTCCCCACACCCAAACCAGCCTCCTTCTGCTGCCAGATCATCCTCGGAGCCAGAGATCCCCGCTGGTTTGGACAATAAACATTTGTTGTGCACTTTCTATTACAGTGCCAAATATCAGGTTAGGTTCTGGGGAGATGAGAAAGGATTAAGCAGTGTCCCAGCCTCCAAGGAGATCATGTGACTCCACTGATCATAAATGATGGCCCTGGAAAAAGTTCCAACTCCTCTTCAGTATGGCTCCAGCTGAATGGCTCTGTCCCCTGCCCCTTCTCTGTCTGGGCTGGTCCCTCTGGTAACTGTCTTATGGGTCTTCTCCCTCCACACCGTCGCTCATGCAGGCCCTTCAGTGTAGTACAGCCTCACAGATGCTCAGCTCAGCAGCCCTTTGCTTGAGCTTTTGGGTTTAACCTCCATCCTCTTCCTGTTGTCTGTATCTCTGCGTCATCAAACATCTAAATTTAAGTCTCCTATCTGTGTGATCTTAGACAAGTGTCTAGTGTCAAGTGTCTAGTGGACAAAGGTTTCTAAACCTTTGTCCTCCATTCCTCATTTGTGAAAGGAAGGTAATGGCTTCCGCTTTGTCCATGGCTTAGAGTTGTTCTAAAAATCAAATAACATGATAAATAAATTTAAAAAAAAACAAGTAAGATAACAAGGGCTGGTCCAGATGTGGAGGAAGGGAACACCTGCACACTGTTGCTGGGAATTTAAATTAGTACAAGCATTCAGGGAAACAGTATGGAAGTCCCGCAAAAAATTAAAAATAGAATTACCGTATGATCCAGCAATTTCACTACTGGGTATATCTCCAAAGGAAATGAAATCCTTACCTTGAAGTGGTATCTACACTCCCATGTTCATTGGAGCACTATTCACAATGGCCAAGATATGAAAACAAGCCAAGTGTCTGTCCATGAATGAATGGCTACAGAAAGTGTGGTATACATATATCTGGTGGAATATTATCCAATCTTAAAAAAAAATTGTCATTTTCGACATGGATGAACTTAGAAAACATTATGCTAAGTGAAATAAACCAGGCCCAGGCACAGAAAGACAAATACTGAATGATTTCATTGATATCTGGAATCTAAACTAGAACTCATGAAAGCAGAGAGTAGAAAGCGGCTTGCCTGGGGCTGGGGAACACGGGAATGGGGAGACGTTGGTCAAAGTGGGAGGTGACAGCGTGCTGGCAGTTCTCAGAGCCCTCTCTTGCTCTCGGCACCTCCTCTGCCTGGGATCCCACTTTGGTGGCATTTGAGGAGCCCTTCGGCCCCCCCACTGCACTGTGGGAGCCCCTTTCTGGGCTGGCCAAGGCTGGAGCCCACTCCCTCAGCTTGCAGGGAGGTGTGGAGGGAGAGGCACGAGCGGGAACCGGGGCTGCGTGCAGCGCTTGCTGGCCAGCTGGAGTTCCGGGTGGACGTGGGCTTGGCGGGCCGCGCACTCGGAGCAGCCGGCCCTGCTGGCCCCGGGCAATGGGGGACTTAGCACCCGGGCCAGCGGCTGCGGAGGGTGTACTGGGTCCCGCAGCAGTGCCAGCCCACCGGCGCTGCGCTCGATTTCTCGCCGGGCCTTAGCTGCCTTCCCGCGGGGCAGGGCTCGGGACCTGCAGCCCGCCATGCCTGAGCCTCCCACCCACTCCATGGGCTCCTGTACGGCCCGAGCCTCCCCGACAAGCACCACCCCCTGCTCCACAGCGCCCAGTCCCATCGACCACCCAAGGGCTGAGGAATGCGAGCGCACGGTGCGGGACTGGCAGGCAGCTCCACCTGCACCCCCAGTGTGGGGTCCACTGGGTGAAGCCAACTGGGCTCCTGAGTCTGGTGGGGATGTGGAGAGTCTTTATATCTAGCTCAGGGATTGTAAACACACCAATCAGCACCCTGTGTCTAGCTCAAGGTTTGTGAGTGCACCAATCGACACTCTGCATCTAGCTGCTCTGGTGGGGCCTTGGAGAACCTTTATGTCTAGCTCAGGGATTGTAAATACACCAATCAGCACCCTGTGTTTAGCTCAAGGTTTGTGAATGCACCAATCAACACTCTGTATCTAGCTGCTCTGGTGGGGATGTGGAGAACCTTTATGTCTAGCTCAGGGATTGTAAATACACCAGTCGGCACTCTGTATCTAGCTCAAGGTTTGTAAACACACCAATTAGCACCCTGTGTTTAACTCAAGGTTTGTGAATGCACCAATTGACACTCTGTATCTAGCTGCTCTGGTGGGGCCTTGGAGAACCTGTGTGTCCAAACTCTGTATCTAACTAATCTGATGGGGACGTGGAGAACCTTTGTATCTAGCTCAGGGATTGTAAACGCACCAATCAGCGCCCTGACAAAACAGGCCACTAGGCTCTACCAATCAGCAGGATGTGGGTGGGGCCAGATAAGAGAATGAAAGCAGGCTGCCCGAGCCAGCATTGACAACCTGCTCAGATCTCCTTCCAGACTGTGGCAGCTTTTTCTTCTTCTTCTTCTTCTTCTTCTTTCTCTTTTCTTTTCTTTTCTTTTCTTCCCCCTTCTCCTTCTCTTCTTCTCTCTTTCCTCTCCCTTCCTCCCCCTCCCTTCCTCTTTTCTCTCGCTTTGCAATAAATCTTACTGTTGCTCGTTTTGGGTCTACACTGCTTTTGTGAGCTGTAACAGTCACGGTGAAGATCTGCAACTTCACTCCTAAGCACAGTGAAACCATGAGGCCACCAGGAGTGAATTAACAACTCCAGATGCGTTGCCTTAAGAACTGTAACATTCACTACGAAGGTCTGCAGCTTGCCTCCTGAGCCAGCAAGACCGTGAACCCACCAGAAAAAAAAAACTCCAAATACATCTGAACATCAATAAAGGACAGACTCCAGATGTGCCACCTTAAGTGCTATAACACATCATGAGGGTCTGCGGTTTTGTTCTTGAAGTCAGTGAGACCAAAACCCCACCAATTCCCGGTCACAAAAGGGTATAAAGTTTGAATTATGGGTTGAGCATTCTGGCTCACACCTGTAATCTCAGTACTTTGAGTGGCTGAAGTGGAAAGATAAGTTGAACACAGGTGGGGGAGGTAGCAGTGAGCTGAGATCACACCACTGCATTTCAGCCTGCGTGACAGACTACCTCAAAAAGTTTAAGGTACTCAAAGTTAACACATTTTGGAAATCTAAGGTACAGCATGGCTATGAAAGTTCATGAGAATGTATGCTTGAGATGTGCTAAGAGTAGATCCTGAATGTTCTCATCACATACACAAATGATAAGTAAATGTGGAGGATATGTTAATTTGCTTGACTATGGTGATCATTTCACAATGTATCTGTATTTATGGTTTAAATGTTTGTTCCCTCCCAAACTCATGTTGAAATTTAATTACCACTGTAACAGTATTAAGAGGTGAGACCTTTAAGAGGTGATCAGATCATGAGGGCTCTGCCCATATGAATGGATTAATGCATTTATCTGGGGAGTGGATTCCTTATAAAAGGACAATTTGGGCCTTCTTTTGTCTCTCATCCTCTCTTGCCTTCCACCTTCCACCATGGGACGAGGCAGCAAGAAGGCCTTCACCAGATGCCAGACCCTCAATCTTGGATTCCCTGCCTCCAGAACTGTGAGGAAATAAATTTCTGTTCTTTATAAATTACCTAGTCTGTGGTATTCTGTTATAGCAGCACAAAATGGACTAAGACATATATCAAAACATCACATTGTACATTGCAAATGTATACAATTTTTGTTTGTCAACTATACCTCAAGAAAGCTAGAAAAAATCAAATAGTCAAATGGATCTAAAGTGTTTCTAAGTAGCAAAAGTGCTTTACACATCTATTTTGTTACCATGTTCTATGTCATATTGAAGGTGGGCTTGCCTTTCCACCTTTGGAGTGGATCATAAAGTCCTTGAAGAATGGTCTTCCCACAGTATTCAGCACACAGGAGTACCCAAGACATTTGTGTAGAGTTCCTCTGAATTAAAGCTGATGTCAACAACACTTCAGATGTCACCAGAGGGTAGGCAGGGCTGCAGAGTCACCCACCTTCAAGGATGATGCTCCAGTCATACCCAATGTGAAAGGTGTCCCCTGGAGCCATGCAAACAAATGAGGTGGCCCCAAGAACAGGATCCTAACATCTCAGGAAGTCAGTCGGCCTTGCTTGGCCACAACTTGAGTTGCACTTAATTTTTAAACTACCATTAATCCCCCAAAACAGGTGGTGAGAAGGTATTTTATATATGAGTGTAACGGCTTTGTTCTCATTCTAAAAGAAAGCAGATGTTATTCAAATCAGATGACCACAACCAGATGACGGAAAGGGGAAGGCAAAATGTTTTAACTTATTAAAAATATAAACTTGACTCAGAATACTCACATGATTCAGCTAAAGAGAAAATCATCTCTGGTGTTTAGGCACTCATTTGCATTTAAAAACCCAAAAGGAATCATTGTGACGAATTGTTGATATTAATATTTGTATTAACTGTCTAGGGCTGCCATACATAACAAAGTACTTTAGGCTGGGCAGCTTAAACAACAGAAAGGTATTTATTGTCTCATTTCTGAGGGCTGAAAGTCTAAGATCAAGGTGTCAGTAAGGTGGGTTCCTTCTTGGGACTCAGAGGGAGAATATGTTCCAGGCCTCCCTCCTTAACTTGCAGATGGCCCTCCTCTCTCTATAGCTCTTTAGTGTTTTCCCTCTGTATGTGTCCGTGTCCAAATTAACCCTTTTATAAGGACGCCAGTCATATTGGGTGACCTAATGACCTCATTTTGCCTTAATTACCCCTGTAAAAACCCTGTCTCCAAATACAGTCACATTCCAAGATACTGGAGGTTAGGAATTTAACATATGAATTGAGGGGAGTGAAGAACAACCCAATCCAGCCCATGACAGTGTCCTAGTGTTTCAAGACAGTTTCTGCACAGATAGACATGGAGACATCGTTCTATCCTTACCTTGCTGATTTTAAGACTCCCTACCCCACACACAAGTTGCTGCTGTTGTTTATTTAATAAAACTGTGTAGATCACTTTCCTTTGAAACACTGATGCACAGCTGTGGAAGGTGGGGTATCTGGGATTACATGCCGACATCCAACCTCGCTGGACCTATCCGGCCCCAGGCATTGCACCAAGGACTGAGATACACTCGTGGATTTAATCATCCAAACACATCTCCTAGGAGGAAGGCCATACATGATCCCCCCAGGCTGAGGCTTCTTAAGGCTCCCCAAGGGGAGGTGGACTTGACACACTGAATACAGGATCACTCCCAGTTGCCCAAAGAGTTTACAGGGCAGAATTACCTTTTCATCTTTATATCCCCAGGGCCTGGGCCAAAGTCAACATTCCTACATGTTTGTTAAACTAAGCTGAACTGGAAGAAACTGCTCCAAATACCAGTGGATTCTTTGGCCGCCATGCCCTGAGCTATGTAAGGCATATGCCTCCTCCATCATTTAGTAAGAGATAACTAAAGAAATGTTTGGGCTGGGTGCAGTGGCTCACACCTGTAATCCCAACACTTTGGGAGGCCGAGGCGGGTGAATCACTTGAGGACAGGAGTTTGAGACCAGCCTGGCCAACATGGTGAAACCCCGTCTCTACTAAAAATACACAAAAAAATTAACTGGGCGTGGTGGTGCATGACTGTAATCCCAGTTACTCGGGAGGCTGAGGCAGGAGAATTGCTTGATCCCAGAAGCCGGAGGTTGCAGTGAGCCCACTCTGTCTCAAAAAAAAAAAAAAAAAAAAAAAAGAAAAGAAATCATTTGCTGATGACTATTGTTCTAAAGTTTTTTGTTTTTTGTCTCCCAGAATAATTAAAAATTGATTGCTTTTCCTTACCTAATAATTTTCTTATCTACCACATACCAATTTATATGTAGTAGAAATAGTTGTGGAAATAAATTTCTGTCCTTTATAAAGTACAATGCTGTTAACAACAGAAAACATAAAAATTAAAGACCCCACCCTCTGTCGCTTTCACCACCTAAGCAATTGTGTGTGTTGCAGGGACACCGCTGCAGCCTCTGCAAAGGACGGCCCCTCTGGCTTGGCCTGATACAATTTCTGGCAAGATTCTTTAAAGTTTTGGGGGAAAGACCCATCCTTCTTATGCCTTCATAGGAATGAGAATTGTATTCATTGCCACAATCTTTCTTGTTTCTCCATAGTCAACAACTTTTCTGAGAAATGAAAACCCTAAAAATTGTCCTGATGAGAGAGTCAGCTACCAACAATCCCAGAGTGTTGAGAAGAGAGGGCAACAGCAGCAACGGACCAGGCATAACCAAATGGAGACGGGGCAGCCTGTTGTGGGGAGGGTCAGTCGTAAAATAATCGGCCCATTTGTCCATTGTATTCCATGACCAGATTTTAAGCTCCTTGAAGATGGGATTCTGTCGTGATTTTGTGACCCCCCTCCCTTCACCTTGCAACACGTAGGATAGAACTCACTGAGCATTTGTCTCTGAAGAAGAAAGGAATCTTTCTTTCCCTCCCTCCCTTCCACTCGCTCTCCCTCCTTCCTCCCTCCCTCCCCGCTTCCCTTCCCCTCCCCTCCCCTGCACTCCCCTCCTCTCTGCTTCTCTTTCTTTCTCAGGATCTCACTCTGTCACCCAGGATGCAGTGCAGTGGTGTAACCTCAGTTGACTGCAGCCTCGACCTCCTGGGCTCAAGCAAACCTCCTACTTCAGCCTCCTGAGTAGCTGGGATTACAGGCGTGTGCCATCACGCCCGGCTAATTTTATTTATTTTTTGTAGAGACAAGGTCTCACTAGGTTGCCCAGGATGGTCTCAAACTCCTGGCCTCAAGTGATCCTCCCACATTGGCTTCCCAAATTTCTGGGATTACAGGTGTGAGCCACCAGTCCGGGCCAGAAAGGAAACTTTTTATCTGAGGAATATGAACCCCTTTAAGTCATCAGGTCCAGACAGGCATTGAAATGTGACAGTAGTCACATCTCACTCACTGCTTGAGCTATGTATGTATGTAATCTGCCTGCTATGTGGACTCTTGACCCAATGCCACCACCAATAGCTATAAATTAACCTAACGACGGCATATGCTGGACAACATAACTTATACCCTATAGTTCAACTATAGCCAATCACTAATCAATGTTATTTCTGTAAACCAATGAGAATTCTTAACCAACAATGTTGGTAATTGCCTCCTCTCCTGATTCATCCTTTGTTCTCTGGGCACTTCCCAAGACAACTTGGAAGTGTTTCCCAAGCAGCTGTTCTCAACCCTGACCCAAATAAACTCTCATATTAATTTTGCCTCAGCTTCTTCCTGTCAGTCGACAACTCCTAACTAGCTATTTTCATCCCTTTTCAAGCTTCCTAAGAGGTTACTTTCATTTAGGTTCGTGATATAATAAAAAATATATCTGGTGTTTATCCCCAGTTCCCGGCACAGAGCTCCTAAAACCCTTGGAATTTCCTGAGTAATGCGAGTGTGTTTTGCTATTCAAAATGAGCCGCTTTAGCTACACCTGAGCTTATGCTGATGAGGCGGCTCTTGGTGATCCCCTGGGGAGGGAAGAAGGGCTGGGAATTGAGTTCAGCCACCAATGGCCAGTGAATTAATCAATAACACCTATGTAATGGAACCTCCATAAAAATCAAAAAGACCAGGTTGAGGGAGCATGTGGGTTAATGAACAGACAGGTGCTGAGAGGGTGGAGTGTCTAGAGAGGGAATGGAAGCTCTCTGCACGCACCCCCGACCCCCCTTAACTTGCTCTCTGCATCTCTTCCACTGGTTGTTTCTGCCTTTATAATAAACTGGTGATAATAATAAAGTGCTTTCTTGAGTTCTGTGAGTCATTCTAGTAAATTATTAAGCCTGAGGGAGGTTATGGGAATCCCCAAATTTGTACTTGGCCGGGCAGCAGTGTGAAGAGCCTGGGCACCCCATTTGTGACAGGTGTCTGAAGAGGGGGTAGTCTTGGGGGCTGAGCCCTCTAACTGGACGTTAAGTACTGTCAGAATTGAATTGAATTGTTGGACACCCAGTTGGTGTCAAAGAACTGATTGGTGTGAGGAAAAAAACCTCTTAAAGGTCTTTACTCCCACTTACTGGTAGTGTTGCTAAGTTCATAATGCCTTTTTCTTATCACTCATGGCTTCATTAGGCTTGACTTACTGGTCTTACTTGCCTAGATTGGTCTTGAACTCCTGGGCTCAAGCCATCTTCCTGCCTTGGCCTCCCAAAGTGCTGGGATTGCGGGTGTAAGCTACCATGCCCAGCCTCAGTGTTTTTAATACACACAATAAAACTTATTACCTTAAAAATTAAACTTCTCATGTTAGTCTAAAACAAGTTCCAAATGAGTTAATGCAAAAACACAAAATTATAAAAGCTCTAAGGAAAAAGACAAGTGAATATTTATATAATCTGAGTGTCAAGAAGACTTTCTATGCAAGACTCTGGAGGAAGAAAACAAAAAAAATACTAAAGTGGACTATTTAAATAAAAAAAGTTCTTTACTTAAAATATTAATAACACTAATATGTAAATTAAAAGCACGGGAATTATCTTGCGATATGTATATAACATTAAGAAAAATCTATTGGTAGAGAGTGCTTAAAAACTGCAAGACAAAAAAATGAATATCCCAAGGACAAAAGTAGGCAAATAAAAATAGGCTAATTCTAAAAGAAGTATGGGTGACTAATAAATGAAAATTTAAATAATGACGTGCAATTTTCCTCCCATCAAATTATCAAAGTGATATCTGTAATGGTAAAAATATAAATAGCTGGAATGTCTGTTTTTACATGATTGAATAATACATTATGGTTAAGTTACCTAATGGATCACAAGGTAGCCATTATAAATGATGCCAGAGAGATGTATTGACATTTAACAAAGCCCAGGCGATTTTCTGTTGCATGAAATATGCATAGGCACGAGAGCTCTGATTTAGCAGCTAAAAACATGAAGATCCAGAAATACTTTATTTCATGCATCTTTTCTTCTCCCAACCCTATTCTGGCTGAAATCGACTAAAATGAATACCACTGGCAACCTTGTTCGTGGGATATTGTACAAGAATGAGCTCTTAAATCAATGTGTCAGAAAATGAAGGAGACACAATGCTGAGGTGGTGTTCTGGATTAAAAGAATTTTAAGCAACATCACAATGAAATTTGATGCATAACCCTTGAATGGATTCTTGCTCAAATAAACAAGCTATAAAAGTATCTCCAAGACCGCTGGAAAATTTGAATATGGATTCAGTATGACAAACTAATTGTTCATTTTAATAAGTATGAGGTATTACGGTTACATAGGAAAATGCCCTTTTAAAAAATAAAAAATGCACATTTAGGGGTATATAAAAACGTATTTAGGGGTAAAAAGTAATGTATATAATTCACTGATTTTTTAAAATGTCCAATCCAATATTAAGTTCATCTGCCAAATGTTTCATTTTAAATGTTTCAGAATTTTTTTTTTTGAGATGGAGTCTCGCTCTGTCGCCCAGGCTGCAATGCAGTTGCGCAACCTCGGCTTACTGCAAGCTCCGCGTCCTGGGTTCACGCCATTCTCCTACCTCAGCCTCCCAGTAATTTTTAAGTTTCTATTTTTCTGTTGAGGTTTTCTATCTGTTCACTCGCTATGCCATCTACTCCTTAAATCCTTTAACATATTTCTAAGAGTTGCATTGCAGTCTTTGTTAATTTTAACATTTGTCTCACTTTCGTGTGTTTTTATTGACTTTTTCCTGGTTATGGGTCATACTTACACTACGTAGGTTTAATAACTTTTTAAAATATGCTAGACATTTCAGCATGTAGTTGAGAGTCCAGAGATCTCAGGCCTCAGGACTAGGGCTAGTATAGCCCTAGAAGATTATTCTAAACTATTATCTAATAAAAACCAAGCTTCCACAAGATCCAAACCAACCCACCAGTTGTTTCGTATACATTGTCCAGTTTACGGTTAATAACAATGGGAGGATAACTCTTGATACTTGTTACTCCACCTCGGCTGGAATTAGAAGTAACAAGTTAGGCTCTCAGCTTTGTTACCACCCGTGACATGAGGGGTTGGGCTAGGTAAGTGCATGCATCAGAATCACTCACCCGGAAATGCCCATTCTCAAAATTCCTGAAGTCTCAGATGGGGCTTGAAAATTCAGAGGTCTCACGAATCCTAACAATTCTAATATTGCCCATACAGAAAACCACTTAGAGCCAGATTTGATTCAACCCCAGAAGGTAACTAAAACCACCTGAGAAAGTTTTAAACACCAATGCTTAGGCTCCGATCTAAAATAATTAAGCTTCAGTGGAAAGTAATGTCTGAAATTTGTGGATTCTTGATCACACCTAAATTAAGCAAAAAAAGCCACAAAAACCTCACAGTGAGCGTTACAGTTCTTAAGAAAGACATAAAGACACCCAGAGCTTATTCCTTTTGACATTCAGATAGGCACAATTTTTTCTGCTAGCTAGTTCATGGCCTCATCAGCTTCAAGAGTTAACCCACAAACTTTCATGTGAAGTATTACAGCTCCTAAAAACACAGAGCCCAAGAATCAAAAAACAAAACGCACCACAGTTTAGCCTGAAGAACGTAAAAAAAAAAAATCAAAAACCCCAACACAGAAAACAAACTCAGCAGTTTGTGCTACTAGGTCAGGCAGCCTGCTTTTATTCCCTTATCTGGCCCCACCCACCTCCTGCTAATGGTCCATTTTACAGAGAGCTGATTGGTCCATTTTACAGAGAGCTGATAGGTCCATTTTACAGAAAGCTGATTAGTCCGTTTTGACAGGGTGCTGACTGGCGCATTTACAACCCTGAGCTAGACACAGTGCTGATTGGTGCATTTACAATCCTTTAGCTAGACATAAAAGTTCTCCAAGTCCTCACTCGATTAACTAGATACAGAGCACTGATTGGTGTGTTTACAAACCTTGAGCTAGACACGGAGTGTTGATTGGTCTGTTTACAAACCTTGAGCTAGACACAGAGTGCTGATTGGTGTATTTACAATCCTTTAGCTAGACATAAAGGTTCTGCAAGTCCCCACTAGATTAGCTAGACACAGAGCACAGATTGGTGCGTTTACAAAGCTTGAGCTAGACACAGGCTGCTGATTGGTGTGTTTACAAACTTTGAGCTAGACACAGAGTGCTGACTGGTATATTTATAATCCTTTAGCTAGACATAAAAGTTCTCCAAGTACCCACTGGACTCAGGAGCCTAGGTGGTTTTGTTTAGTGGATTCCGCTGCTTTGGCTGAGCTGCCTGCCAGTCCGGCACCAGGCACCTGCACTTCTCAGCCCTTGGGCAGTGGATGCTACCAGGCGCCGCGGAGCAGTGGGCGGCGCCCAGCAGGGAGGCTTGGGCGCATGCGGGAGCCCACCACCGGGGTCGGGGGGCTGGGGCATAGCGGGCTGCAGGTCCTGAGCCCTGCCCTGTGGGGAGGCCCAACGAGAATTCTAGCGCGGCGCGCTCGGACCAGCAGTGCTGGGGGGGCCAGCAGTGCTGG
Source organism: Homo sapiens (assembly GCF_000001405.40). NCBI lineage: Eukaryota > Metazoa > Chordata > Mammalia > Primates > Hominidae > Homo > Homo sapiens. The sequence goes on from NC_000006.12 coordinate 2,870,287, forward strand.
GGGACCCAGCACGCCCTCCGCAGCTGCTGGCCCGGGTACGAAGCCCCTTACTGGTCGCTCTAAGTGCAGGGCCTGCTGAGCCCGCCCACGCCTGCGCCCACCTGGAACTCATGCTGGCCTGTGAGTGTGGCGCGCAGTCCCGGTTCCCACCTGCGCCTCTCCCTCTACACCTCTCCTCTCCCTCCACACTTCCCGGTAAGAGGGAGCCGGCTCTGGCCTGGCCACCTCAGAGAGTGGCTCACACAGTGCAGCGGCGGGCTGAAGGGTTCCTCAAGCGCGGTCAGAGTGGATGCCGTGTCCTGAGGAGGTGCCCAGAGCGAGCGAGGGCTGCTAGCACGTTGTCACCTCTCAGTGGGATTTTTGTTTGTTTTTTAATACAAGAGCAGTCTTTAAAATTGTCCCATTCATGCTCACTACTGTATCTGGGAGGCCAAAGAGAACTGACCTCATGTGTATACATAATTTTCTTTTTATTGATTTAATTATATTGACTATTAAAACTACATGCAAGACAAAAATGCAAACACTGCAATGAGTACACTGAAAAAAGAGAAAATATCAAGGTCTAAAAAGAATTAATAGCTCCCCCAGCGATTTTTTTAATGTAGCTAAAGTTGAGAACCCCTGGATTGGGTAGTCTCTAGTATCCATTCAGCTCTGACTTCCTACAATTCCATGACACACAGGATGGAATTTGCAAAGGGAAAGGAGGGACAGGGAAGTTGCTCATCTGGGGGAGGGAAAGCAAGTTGATGGGACAAGGAAGGTTTGTCAAGTAGAATCCCCAGTTCCAAAAGACAGGACACAGGAGCATCCCAGCAGAGATGGCATCCAAGAGAGGACTCTCAAAACTGCATCATTTTCAAATTAGGCAGAAGGTCCTCAGAGTCCTGAAGTTGTCACCTACAGTGTATGATTGCCCATAGTTAGAATTATTTCTCAGGTCAGGCACACTTTCTCCATCTACAATATGAGTTTCCAGTGTAAAAGTTGGATTCATTACCTTGAACGTACTCTTATGCAATCACGGAAATTTTTTGAGCTAGAAAATTCTCCAGAGATACAGCCAACATTTTCTTGCTACTAGACAAATATATTTTATATATATTTGTTTATATATATATAACAGTTTATAAAGCACTTTCACATGCATATTTTGCTGGATTACAAACACCTCATGTGTGATAGGCCAAGCTGATATTTTCTCTCTTTTATAAGGCTCTGAGAAGTTACGTGGCTTAGGAAAGATTCCACAGTGAATCAGAGGCAGTACGTGGACTTTAAAGCTCATAGGGCTGGGCGCGGTGGCTCACGTCTATAATCCCAACACTTTGGGAGGCCAAGGCAGGTGGATCACAAGGTTGGGAGTTCGAGACCAGCCTGGCCAACATGGTGAAACCCCATCTCTACGACAAATACAAAAATTAGCCAGGCATGCTGGCGCGTGCCTTTAATCCCAGCTACTTGGGAGGCTGAGGCGGGGGAATTGCTTGAACCCAGGAGGTGGGGGTTGCAGTGAGCTGAGATCACGCCACCGCAATCCAGCCTGTGCGACAGAGCAAGACTCCATCTTGGGAAAAAAAATAATAATAAAGCAAAAAATAAAAAAAGCTCATCAACTCACTCGAAGCCTACTGCCTTCCCACAAGGCAATGAAACCTTTGAGTTTATATAAAAAAAATGAGCCATGTAAGAAATTATCACAGGTGTGCAAAGTCCTAACACATTTTTCACTTCCTTTCCTATTCCAGCAGCACTGGCATAGTCGCTCCATAACCTGTGGAAGAAAATATCTAATCTGTATCAGTCAGGAGAAGCTGGATACTCTGTGGTAACAAAAAATCCCCCAAGTCTCAGTGGTTGCAGATAACAAGGTGTCATTTGTGCTTCAGGCTACAAGTCCATCATGAATAAGCAGGGACACTTGGGGACCCAAGCAAGTAGAGTAGCTATCACCTCGTATGTTGCTGATGTCATGCCAGAGGGACAAAAAGAATTCTAGAGGACCTCAAACTTTCCATTAAATACTTCAGTGTGTGTCACTTCTACACACAACTTGTTGGCCAGAACTGGTCACAAAGCCCCAAAAGGGAGCCAAAAAGAACCATCCTACTGTATTAGTCCATTCTTACGCTGCTAATAAAGACATACCTGTTCTCATGCTGGGTAATTTATAAAGAAAAGAGATTTAATTGACTCACAGTTTCATATGACTGGGGAAGCCTCAGGAAACTTACAATAATGACCGAAGGGGAAGCAAACACATTCTTCTTCACATGGCAGCAGGAAGAGAATGAGAGAAGTGCAGAGCAAAAAGGGGAAAAGCCCCTCACAAAACCATCACATCTCATGAGAACTTACAATCATGAGAACCGCATGGGGAACCACACTATGATTCAATCACCTCCCAGGAGGTCCCTCCCCTAACACGTGGGAATTAAAGTTTGGATTACAATTCAAGATGAGATTTGGGTGGGGACATGGACCCAGACCAATGTGGACCCAGATCACATGGACCCAGATCACTTACCATGTGCTGGAAGGGAGGAAATCCAGAAATTTCTGGCAAACAACTCTAATGGCTACAAACAATTCCTCCTCCTTATGCAGTGGAGGTCTCCTTGCTTGGGCCATTTGGGCAGCCACATTTCCTTCCACTCCCAGGAAGAGCATGGCCAGAGCAGAGGAGACACTTGGGACAGACAAAAGCACATTGCATGAAGGGTTTTCTTCGTATGGCTCCTTTAAAAGATGATGGCTGGAGCCATTTGCTTCAGAGAGGGCGCTCATGGTGGAGGGTCTGGCAACAGAGCACGGGGAGGAGTGTTTGACAGTTTGTCATCCTCCAGGAGAACAAGCAGCTCCTCAGATGGAGCCAGCAGAATGTTGGAGGGGTTGGGGGAGGAGGAGTAGCTCTTGGCTGTTGTACAGCCCAGGGAATTCGGGGGAGGAAGGGGTGACTGAGAAGCAGACTCCTCTCTTCTTCACTCACAGGCAGGGCAGAGGGACCACTAGACAAGGTTGGGTGACAGGGAGGCAGGAGGCTATGCTTGCCAGGGGGACAGCAATGCAACTGACAGCTTCCAGAGGCCATCTGATGTCAGGGAGGAAAAGTGAGGTCAGTTAGAGCCAAAATCGCTGCTCCTTTTTCTCCCCACTCACTTGCAGCCATGCTTCTCCCCGCCCTGCCCAGCACTCAGCACCTTCCCTTACGCTGCCTCCGCTGTCCAAAGACACCTCATCACATGCTCCAGAACCATCGCCTCTGCCCCAAACACCTGCATTAACTAACGCATTAATTAACTACTTTTTTCTTCGTCCTCCTACTTCTTTTCTTCACCACCTTCCCGGAAAATTTCATAATCCACTCTCTGTAGCATTAACTGTGCATTAAGAAGACAGCAATCTGATTCAACTAATTTTCAATAATCACAAACTAGGCCAGGCGCAGTGGCTCATGCCTATAATCCCAGCACTTTGGGAGGCCAAGGTGAGCGGATCGCTTAAGCTCGGGAGTCTGAGACCAGCCTGGGCAATGTGATAAACCCTGTCTCCACCAAAAATACAAAAATCTAGCCAGGCATGGTGGTGCGTGCCTGAAGTGCCAGCTACTCGGGAGGCTGAGGTGGGAGGATCGCCTGAGCCTGGGAGGCAGAGGCTGTAGTGAGCCAAGATTGTGCCACTGCACTCCACCTGGTGTGACAGAGTAAGACCCGTCTCAATTTTTAAAAATTAAAAGAAAAGAAAAGAAAAAAATAAAAAATAATAATAACAAACCTAACATTTATGTTGAGCCCTTACTATGGTCCGTGTACTGTTGCCTAAGTACAGTATGTCACAACCCTAATTCTAAATACAACCCTTTGGGGTATCCTCCCAGATGAGGAAATCAGGTGTGGGGAGCTGTAGTCATTTAACTAAGAAGGTTTAATTTGTAAGTGGCAGAATGAGGGCCAAACACAAGCCCTCTGGCTACAGAACTCACACACCTAACTGCTATGCCACCTCTCAGCCATGCTGATGTCAGGTAGACGTTAGGTAGCATGACAACTATCATCAAAACACTCCCAGGGGATCTTGATTTCTGGAATTCCAGGCCACTCGGTGGGGACATTCTAGAGCAGAGGTGTGCTCATGCCCTGGCAGAGCATTCTCAGACCAGGGTCTCTGGCAAACCCCAGCGGGCCTCTTTCCATGCCCAGGCCCTTCTTCTCTTTGCCTTAGGTAAGCCCAGAATTTCTCCTCATCCTTGTCTGTCCAGGACCTGTGTTCCTCCCAGCCCTGGCCTCCATCCTGGTCCTCCTGGATGGCTTTGATGAGCTGATGCCTGGCTGAGGGCTCCGCTTCCCCAGGCTTTGGCCAGAGAGACACAGGCTCTCCCCTGGGGACCCAACTCTGGGCTGTCATCTTCAGCTTGTGTCTTGGGATGCTCCAACTCAGGAAAGGGTGCCTCCTAGGAGATGGGAGGGGGTCACAGAGGGGAGCCCTAGAGTAAAAGTATCCTGGGCACTGGCCAGTTAGAAGAAACGTTGGTGATAACACGGCCAGTGAGGCCATACTGGTGCATATTTGTGAAAGGCTGGCCCATCAGTCAGTCTTCCCCCAAGGTGACATATCTTCAGTATCAAAGTCACTGCTCATGCCAGGACATCACATCGTGGCTCTCATGGCCTCCCCATCCCAGCCCTCCCAGCTTCTACTCGGGGGTTCTCTCTGGCGACTGGGCTCAATAAACAGGAATCGAGCCACGCCCCTAAGACAATGGACACCGATGAGCCGTCCCCGCTGGTTCACCTGTATTTACACACCCAGTTTCACATCCAGTTAGACACTCTGTATCGTTATTGTCTAATCTTAGGCACACACTGTATTCCTAGACCCATTGGTCTTTCCCTGCCCTCCCCCAAAGGCAAAATGCATTTAGGGTCCCAGAGATCCCTGGGGAGACACGCAGCGGAGGTGACCTAAACCCAAAGCAATGGTCTACGGAGGTGACCTAAACCCAAAGCAATGGTCTGGCCCCCTCTCCCTCCTAAGCCTTCCAGCTAAGGGTTCTGCTCTTCCGGGGTCAGGGCAGGCCCCGGGCCGGTGCGCTAATCCGGCTAGGAGGCTTCGGGCGAGGCAGGCTGGAGACGCCAGGGCAGCCCCAGGGCAGCGGCTCCTGTCCCCAAGTCCTCGGGCCCTCCTCCAGCCTCCCTTCGGCGCAGGACCCTGGGGGAGCTCGTCCCCACCGCCAAGCCGCTCGCCCTTCCCCGTTCGCCGCCCGGAGGTTCGGGAAGGAGACACACCCGGGCCAGGCGCGGTTGCTCGCGCCTGCAATACCAGCACTTTGGGAGGCGGAGGCGGGCGGATCACCTGAGGTCGGGAGTGCGACCAGCCTGGCCAACATGGCGAAACCGTGTCTCTCCCAAAAATACAAAAATTAGCTGGGCGTGGTGGCACGAGTCTGCAATCCCAGCTACTCCGGAGGCTGAGGCAGGAGAATCGCTTGAACCCGGGAGAGGCTGCAGTGAGCCGAGATCCCGCCATTGCACTCCGGCCTGGGCGACTAGAGCGGCTCAAATAAATAAATAAATAAATAGAAGTCACCCCTGTCCGAACCTGGCTGAACTCCAGGCGTTCCCCACCCGCAATGCTGCGGGGTGCTGCCCCAGGATGCACCCCTCCTAGGAGACGTCCCGCTTCGGAGATCCCAGCTACCCGCTCCCTCCCCCAGGCCGCCTCCCCAGAAGCCTCCGAGCAGTTGGGGCGCATTCGTGTTTGAAAAACACAAGAGGAAGCGCCTGCAGCGCTCGGTTTCCCCCGCGGGGCAGCGCGGGCGCGGGGTGCGCGTGGGCGGGCGGCCGGGGTGGGCAGGGGACCGTGGGCGGCGGGCGCCGCAGGGGGCCCCCCACCCCCCCATCCCCCCCTTACCCCCCCAACTCGCTCTGAGCCCGGGGGGTGCCGGCCTAGGCTACAGGTGGGGAGGACTCCCGGTGGCCTGGTGGAAAAGCTGCCCTCTCTCACCCAGGCACGCCACGGACACCAGCACCGCAAGGGCTCTTTTGTGAAAAATGTCTCCGCCAGCACGCTCTCAAAAGCTTCTCTCTGAATCCGCTCATCTGAGGAGTCCAGAGGATCTGGGCCATTCTTTTCCAGTCTGCACAAGGGGAGGGAGGTCAGCTGCACCCTCCCTGTGAAGGACGCCGCCCCCTTTCCTTCCCGCAGCCCTCGCCAGAACTCTCTCGGGCTGCCTGGCAAGCGACAGCTGTACAGTGAGCCTCGAGTGACCTTCAGAGGCCAGGCGCCCACAGCATCCAACCTGACACACTGCTGACCAATGAACTTGGTTCTGCCCCAGTCAGAGCACCAGAGTTCAATGTTTTATTGACAGAACCACTAGAAGCTGCCTTTTCCCAGCCTTTACAAAACTCAGGACTCGGCCTCTCAGCATATTTCTCAATGAACAGCTGACTGTGCCCTGGAATGTCAGGTCAATCGCCTTGGCTTTGTTCTTTCTGTTATGACACATCCATTGTATGGGTGTTTGTGGCGAAACTGAAACAGAAAGATTCTCACTTTAACATCCTGTTGTGAGGATTTCAGGATCATGGCACACGGGAGGTAGGACTAGATTGCCACTCTGACCAGAGCAGCATGCAGAGGCTCCCACTGTGAATTTTAGCTCCAGATCCACTGCAAGAACAAACCCGCAATCCTGAGAGGGCCCACAGACCCTCCGAAGGAAGCAGACTGCTCCTGCAGGACCCGGGAGACACCCCAAATACTGAGTGCCCCAACTGTGGAAGTGGGAAAGGGAGACCCTCCTCTCCCCAACACACACTCCCACTGGAGAAGCTGAAGGTCTGTTTGCGGAGAAGTTTCCGACTTTACCTGGAGCAGAGTCAAGTTGGAGAGCCCAGCGAAAAACAGGGGGAGAGGAAGCAGCAGTAAGGCCCTGGGAGCTTGCTGGGTCCCCTAGCAGCCCATTCCTGTCTGGCACCACAGGGATCCTTTGGGAGGGTGGCCTGAGGAGCAGGGGGTAAAACTCCACAGGGAGAAGGAATTCTGTAGCTGAACTTTGTAACAATTTGAACCCCGCGAGAAGCCTCCTGGCCAGAACTCAGGAGGGGGCTCGAATCCAGCGTGCAGACTCCACAGGCGTGGGAAGAACTAAAGCTCTTTTCTTTCTCAGCTAGGAGGTGGAAAGCCTGCGACAAGTTTTCAAAACCATCTTGCTCTTCACCTGGAAACAGATGCAGGGCTATTGTGGAGGGCACAGTGGGAGTGAGACCAGCCCTTCAGTTTGCATGGGAGCTGGGTGAGGCCTGTGAGTGCCAGCTTTCCCGCACTTCCCTGACCCCTGCATGACTCAGCAGAGGGAACCATAATCCTACTATTTACGCAATTCCAGTGACCTGGGAATCTCACCCCCATTCCCCACAGCAGCCACAGCAAGACCTGCCCCAGGAGAGTCTGAGCTCAGACACGACTAACCCCGCCCCCACCTGCTGGTCCTTCCCTACCCACCCTGTTAGTGGAAGACACAGGACATATAATCTTGGGAGTTCTAGGGCCCTGCCCACCACTGGTCCCTTTCCACACTACTACAGCTGATGCTTTCTAGAAATCACTACCTCCTGGTAGGAGGCCAACCAGCACAAAAATAGAGCATTAAACCCCAAAGTTAAGGACCCTCATGGAGTCCATTGCACCCTCTGCCACCTCCACCAGAACATGTGCTGGTATCCACAGCTGAAAAACCCATAGATTAACATCACATAGATTAACCCATAGATTAACTCATAGATTAACCCATAGGTTAACATCACAGGAATCTGTACAGACAACCCCAGTACCAGCCCGGAGCCAGTTAGACTCGCTGGGTGGCTAGACCCAGAAGAGAGACAACAATCACTGTAGTTCAGCTCACAAGAAGCCACATCCACAGGAAAAGCTGGAGAGTACTACATCAAAGGAACACCCCATGGGACAAAAAAATATAAACAATAGCTGTCAGCCCTAGACTTTCCTTCTGACAGAGCCTACCCAAATGAGAAGGAACCAGAAAACCAACCCTGGCAATATGACAAAACAAAGCTCATCAAGACCCCGTGCCCCCCCAGAATCACACTAGTTCACCACCAATGCATCCAAACCAAGAAGAAATACCTGATTTACCTGAAAAAGAATTGAGGAGGTCAGTTATTAAGTTAAATCAGGGAGGGACCAGAGAAAGGCAAAGCCCAATGCAAGGAAATCCAAATACTGAAGGAAATAGATAGCTTAAAGAAAAAACAATAAAAAAATTCAGGAAACTTTGGACACACTTTTAGAAATGCGAAATGCTCTGGAAAGTCTCACCAATAGAACTGAACAAGTAGAGGAAAGAAATTCAGAGCTCAAAGACAAGGTCTTCAAGTTAACCCAATCCAACAAAGACAAAGAAAAAACAATAAGAAAATATGAACAAAGCCTCCAAGAAGTCTGGGATTATGTTAAATGACCAAACCTAAGAATAATCTGTATTCCTGAGGAAAAAGACAATTATAAAAGCTTGGAAAACATATTCAGGGGAATAATCAAGGAAAACTTCCCCAGCCTTTTGAGAGACCTAGACATGCAAATACAAGAAGCACAAAGAACACCTGGGAAATTCACTGCAAAAAGATCATTGCCTAGGCACATTTTCATTAGATTATGCAAAATTAAGACGAAGGAAAGAATCTTAAGAGCTATGAGACAGAAGCACCAGGTAACCTATAAAGGCAACCTATCAGATTAACGCAGATTTCTCAGCAGAAACCCTACAAGCTAGAAAGGATTGGGGACCTATCTTCAGCCTCCTCAAACAAAACAATGATCAGCCAAGAATTTTGAATCCATCGAAACTAAGCATTATATATGAAGGAAAGAGACAGTCATTTTCAGACAAACAAATCCTGGGAGAATTTGCCATTACCAAGCCACCGCTACAAGAACTGCTAAAAGGAGCTCTAAATCTTGAAACAAATCCTGGAAACACATCAGAACAGAACCTCTTTAAAGCATAAATCACAGAGGACCTATAAAACAAACATACAAGTTAAAAAGCAAAAACACCAAAATGAAAAAAAAAAAATTACAGAGGCAACAAAGCGCGTGATGAATGCAATGGTACGTCACATTTCAGTACTATCATTGAATGTAAATGGCCTAAATGCTCCACTTAAAATATACAGAACTGCAGAACAGATAAGAACTCACCAACCAACTATCTGCTGCCTTCAGGAGACTCACCTAACACGTAAGGACTCACTTAAAGGAGGCAGAAATAGGCATTTCATGCAAATGGACACCAAAAGTGAGCAGGGGTAGCAATTCTTATATCAGACAAAACAAACTTTAAAGCAACAGTGGTTAAAACAGACAAAGAGGGATGGTATATAATGGTAAAAGTCCCTGTCTAACAGGAAAATATCACAATCCTAAACATGTATGCATCTAACACTGGAGCTCCAAAATTTATAAAACAATTTTATAAAATTTATAAAACAATAGACCTAAGAAATGAGATAGACCGCAACACAATAATAGTGAGGGCTTCAATACTTCACTGACAGCACTAGACAGGTCATCAAGACAGAAAACCAACAAAAAAAAACAATGGATTTAAACTATACCTTGGAACAAATGGACTTAACAGATATATATGGAACATTTCATCCAACAACCGCAGAATACACGTTCTATTCAACAGCGCGTGGAACTTTCTCCCAGATAGACCATATGATAGGCAATAAAATAAACCTCAATAAATTTAAGAAAGTTGAAATTATATCAAGCACTCTCTCACACCACAGTGGAATAAAACTGGAAATCGACTCCAAAAGGAACCTTCAAAACCATGCAAATACATGGAAATTAAATAACCTGCTCCTGAATGAATATTGGGTCAAAAACAAAATCAAGATGGAAATTAAAAAATTCTTCAAACTGAACGACAATAATGACACAACCTTTCAAAACCTCTAGGATACAGCTAAGGTGGTGCTAAGACCATAGCCCTAAACGCCCACATCAAAAAGCCTGAAAGAGCACAAATAAATGATCTAAGGTCACACCTCAAGGAACTAGAGAAACAAGAACAAACCAAACCCAAACACCAGCAAAAGAAAGGAAATAACCAAGATTAGAGCAGAACTAAATGAAATTGAAACAAAAAATAAAATACAAAAGATAAATGAAACAAACAGCTGGTTCTTTGGAAAGATAAATAAAATTGATAGGCCATTAGCAAGATTAACCAAGAAAAGAAGATAGAAAATCCAAATACCCTCACTATGAAATGAAACAGGAGACATTACAACTGGCACAACTGAAATTCAAAGGATCATTCAAGGCTATTACAAACACATTTACGCACATAAACTAGAAAACCTAGCAGAGATGGATAAATTCCTGGAAAAAATATAACCGTCCTAGCTTAAATCAGGAAGAATTAGATACCCTGAACAGACCAATAACAAGCAGCAAGATTGAAATGGTAATTTTAAAATTACCGACAAATAAAGTCCAGGACCAGAGAGATTCACAGCAGAATTCTACCAGACATTCAAAGAAGAATTGGTACCAATCCTTTTGACACTATTGCACAAAATAGAAAGAAGGAACCCTCCCTAATTCATTCTACAAAGCCAACATCACCCTAATAGCAAAACCAGGAAAGGACACAACCAAAAAAGAAAACTACAGACTGATATCCCTGATGAACATAGAGCTAAAATCCTTAACAAAATACCAGCTAACTGAATACAACAACATATCAAAAAGATAATCCACCATGATCAAGTGGGTTTCATATCAGGGATGCAGGGATGGTTTAACATACACAAGTCAATAAATGTGATACATCACATAAACATAACTAAAAACAAAGTTCACATGATCATCTCAATAGATGCAGAAAAAGCATTTGACAAAATCCAGCATCGCTTTATGATTAAAACCCTCAGCAAAATCGGCATACAAAGGACATACCTTAATGTAACAAAAGCCATCTATGACAAACCCACAGCCAACATAATACTGAATGGGGAAAAGTTGAAAGCATTCCCTCTGAGAATGGGAACAAGACAAGGATGCCCACTCTTAGTACTCCTCCTCAACATAGTACTGGCAGTCCTAGCCAGAGCAATCAGACAAAAGAAAGAAATCAAGGACATCCAAATCGGTAAAGAGGAAGTTAAACTCACTGTTTGCTGATGAAATGATTGTTTACCTTCAAAACCCTAAGGACTCCTCCAGAAAGCTCCTAGAACTGATAAAATAATTTAGCAGTGTTTCTAGATATGAGATTAATGTACACAAATCAGTAGCTCTTCTATACACCAACAGCGACCAAGCAGAGAATCAAATCAAATCAAAAAGAGGAAGTGAAACTGTCACTGTTTGTTGACAATATGATCATTTACCTTGAAAACCCGAAGGACTCCTCCAGAAAGCTCCTAGAACTGGTAAAATAATTCAGCAATATTTCCGGATATGTGATTAATGTATACAAGTCAGTAGCTCTTCTATACACCAACAGCAACCAAGCAGAGAATCAAATAAAAAATTCAACCCCTTTTACAATAGTTGCAAAAAAACACAAACAAACAAACAAAAACCTTAGGACTATACCTAACAAAGGAGTTGAAAGACCTCTCTACAAGGAAAACTAAAAAAAACTGCTGAAAGAAATCATAGATGACACAAACAAATAGAAACACATCCCATGCTCATAGATGGGTAGAATCAATATTGTGAAAATGACCATACTGCCAAAAGCAATCTACAAATTCAATGCAATCCCCATCAAAATACCACCATCATTCTTCACAGAGTTAGAAAAAACAATTCTAAAATTCATATGGAACCAAAAAAGAGCCCACATAGCCAAAGCAAGACTAAGCAAAAAGAACAAATCTGGAGGCATCACATTACCTGATTTCAAACTATACTATAAGGCTGTAGTCAACAAAACAGCATGGTACTGGTATAAAAATAGGCACATAGACCAATGGACAGAATAGAGAACCCAGAAATAAACTCAAATACTTACAGCCAACTGATATTCGACAAAGCAAACAAAAACATAAAGTGGGGGAAAGGACACCCTTTTCAACAAATGGTGCTGGGATAATTGGCTAGCCACATGTAGGAGAATGAAATTGGATCCTCATCTCTCACCTTATACAAAAATCAACTCAAGATGGATTAAGGACTTAAACCTAAGACCTGAAACTATAAAAATTCTAGAAGATGATATTGGAAAAATCCTTCAACACATTGGCTTAGGCAAGGATTTCATGACCAAGAACCCAGAAGCAAATGCAATAAAAACAAACATAAATAGCTGGGACCTAATTAAACTAAAGAGCTTTTGCACAGCAAAAGGAACAGTCAACAGAGTAAACAGACAACACACAGAGTGGGAGAAAATCTTCACAATCCATACATCTGACAAGGGACTAATATCCAGAATCTAGAAGAAACTCAAACAAATTAGCAAGAAAAAAAGAAACAGTCCCATCAAAAATTGGGCTGGCATGAATAGACATTTCTCAAGGCCAATCGCAGTGGCTCATGCCTGTAATCCCAGCACTTTGGGAGGGCAAGGCAGGCAGATCATGAGGTCAGGAGTCCGAGACCAGCCTGACCAACATGGTGAAACCCCGTCTCTATTAAAAATACAAAAATTAGCCGTGTGTGGTGGCATGTGCTTGTAATCCCAGCTACTCAGGAGGCTGAGGCAGGAGAATCGCTTGAACCTGGGAGGCGGATGTTGCAATGAGTGGAGATCGCGCCACTGCACTCCAATCTGGGTGACAGAGCAAAACTCCATCTCAAAAAAAAAAAAAAAAAAAAGAAAGAAAAAATGTTCAAGATCACTAATGATCAGGAAAATGCAAATCAAAACCACAATGTGATACCACCTTATTCCTGCAAGAATGGCCATAATCAAAAAATCAAAAAGACATTAGATGTTGGCATGGATGCGGTGATCAGGGAACACTGCAGTGATCAGCGAACACTTCTACACTGCTGATGGGAATGTAAACTAGTACATCCGCTATGGAAAACAGTGTGGAGATTCCTTAAATAACTTAAGGTAGAACTACCATTTGATCCAGCAATCCCACTACTGGGTAATGGGATTCCCTCTACTCAGAGGAAAAGAACTCATTATTCAAAAAAGATACTTGTACATGCATGTTTATAGTAGCACAATTCACAATTGCAAAAATCCTGGAACCAACCCAAATGCCCATCAGTCAATGAATGGGTAAAGAAACTGTGAGATATATATATATATATACATCAGCTCTGCATACTGGACACCTCATTTTTTATTTTTTATTTTATGTGAGCAAGAAATAGATTTCCATTGTGTTACACTATTGAGACTGCAGGTTTATGTTGTAGCAGCTAGGATTACCTAGATTTACTTTTAGGAAAGACTTCTCTGCAAGGAATGTGGAGAATGGGTTGGAGGAGGCAAGAAGAGGAAGGAAGACAAGTGAGAATACATGTGTTGGAATCAACTGAGTGATTGCTATAGGCAACCTGTAGGCAGTATCAAAAGGTGCTATTTAAATTTGCATGACAGAGTGACGGGGGAAGAAGGTGTCTCATTGTCCAGCTTGGGTAACAGCACGGATTGTCTTGCCTTTCAGTTTAATGCAACTGATAATTCATAAGGAGCAGAAGACACTGAGTGAGGTGTCCAGTATGCAGAGCTGATGAAGTGAACTTGATCCCTGCTCTGGTGAATCCAAGAAGGTGTGTTGGGAAGGTGGGTAATAATCTTGGCTTTGGATACATTGAGGTAGAGATACTTGTGTGTCCAAATGGAAGGATAGGATGAGCAAGTAGAGATTTGGGTCTGGAGCTCAGGAGAGAGATCTGAGCTCTGGGCTGGCAGTCAGGTCATTGATGAGGGCCAGACCAATTTGGGAGAAAGTGGATGAAAGAAGACTCAGGCCAGCCCCGCAAGGGATAGCAATATTTAAAGCATGGGCCAGGGAAAGGGCAGGACAATGAGACTAAGCAAGAGAGGCCAGGAAGCTAGAAGGAAGATCAGGACCCAAAGCAAAAAGTGTTTCTTAAGGAAGAAGTCTCCAAAAGGGTAGAATATTGCCAAAAAGTCAGGTTTCTATTGAACTTAGGAACAAGGAGGGTGTTGGTGACCATTTATTTCGTGTAATGGTGGAGCACAAACCAGATTGGAGTTGGCTGAGGAAGGAATAAACAGTCACAAAACCTGGAAGCTAAAAGATTCATAAATTTGACTACATAAAAACTCTAATTTCACATGGTGAAAATACTGTAAACAAGATAAAATACAAATAACAATCTAGGGATATATTTATGATTCATTTCATAGACAAAAGGCTAATCTCTTTCTTACCATTTTTTTTTAAGAGATGGGGGCCTCACTGCATTGCCCAGGCTGAAGGGCATTGGCTATTAACAAGCACAATCATAGCACACTACAGCCTCCTGGGCTCAAGCAGTTCTTCCGCCCCAGCCTCCCAAGCAGCTGGGACTACAGGTACGTGCCACTGTGCTCGGCTTAATTCCTTGAGTATAAAAAATGCTTCTACTCATCCATGCATACTAGGCCTACACTCCTGAAGAAAAATATGGGTGAAGTATATGAAGCCAATTCACAGAACAGGAAATAAAAACAGCTCTTAAACATAAGAAAAGGCAGAAATAGACTTTATTCATGAAAAGGGGAAGTCAATGTTCAAATGCCATTCTCATTAAAAACTTTTATAAAAACCAAGGATAAACAGATATTTTCAAAAACCATTTATATGGATTTTATTTCAATTTCAATACCATGTCACTTAATATTAGATATATGGTTGTATAATGGAGTTCTTCTTTCTTTAGATTATGTGCAGGCTACAGAATTAGATTTTCCTTGTTAAAATTTTAAATATTACAGAAATATAGAAGGCAAAAAATGGAAGGTTTTTTCCCACATCTCCTTCCCCAAACCTATCTCAGAGACAACCTCTGTTAGCAATGAAAAGTGTCACCTTTTAAACCTCTCCCCATAGATTTGTATACATAAATTTACATACACAGGGTTTCGTTCACATAAATGAGATCATATTATACACATTGCATTGCCAGTTACATTTTTCACTTAATTTGTTTTCATAGTGTTTTACAAGAAGTGCATTTGAACCTATTGTGATATTTTAAAATTCTGCATAGTAGTTCATACTATAAATTAAATTCTTCTCCTATTGAAGGCAAAATTAAAATTGAATTAATTACACTTCATTTTCTTTGTTTTTTCCCTCCCTCCCTCTCTACCTTCTTTCCTTCCTTCCTTTTTCTTTCCTTTTTTGCTATTCAACAATGCTAACTGTACACTTAGAAATGCTTAAGATGGTAAATTTTGTTTTTCTTTACCACGATTTTTTAAATTACCCTGCAAAAATGCCTTTGAAAATACTACAGGGAAAACCTTAGCATATCTAAGCATGTATGCAAATACTTATGTAGATCAGACATCTAAAAGTGAGATGCTGGCCCAAAAAGAATGTCCATTTAAAATGAAAAGGCTGCCCACTTCCTTCCAAAAACCCTTAATCCACATTCCCACACACAAGGTAAGGATGCCTGTTTTCTCGTATGCTCACCAATACTGGATATTATCAACCTCTAAATTAAAACAGAGAGCGGAACAAGAATTTCTGTCATGATTGTGCCCTCTGTGTCTTGGTTCATTTGTGTTGCTATAAAAAAAAAAACCACATACATGAGGCTGGGTAATTCACAAAGAGAAGAGGTTTATTTGACTCACAGTTCTGCGGGCTGTACAAAAGGCATGGCACCAGCATCTGCTTCTGGTGAGGACTCAGGCTGCTTCCACTGATGGCAAAAGGTGAAGGTGAACTGCCATGTGCAGAGATCACAAGGCAATAGATCAAAAGCAAGAGACAGAGGGCAGGTGTCAGGCTCTTTTTAACAACCAGTTCTCAGGGGAACAAATAAAGCCAGAACTCACTCATTACCTCGAGGATGGCACCAAGCCATTCATGCCCCCATGATCCAAATACTTCCCATTAGACCCCACCTCCAACATTGGGGATCATGTTTCAACATGAAATGTGGGGGAACAAATATCTAAACCACAGAAAGTTGTCTCCTGCCTGGGTAATGCAAAAAAGACAAAGACAAAACAATAAACAAAAAACAGACACTAGGGGTGTGTCAGTTAGAAGGATGTCCTCTTTCTTATTTGCATATACCGTTACGTACATAGTAAAGATCGTTTGCCTATTGCATAATCATATAGCAGAAACTCCAAGATGATTTACTGAAAATTCTTAAATTACCAAAAGGCTATACCAAATTGGTCATGCACAAGATAAATGTATAAGCTTCAATGGTTTACTTATATGCCATCCATAATCAGGTCAGGGGAAATGCTCTTGTTTAAAATTGTTACTAAAATTTAGAAATAGCCATAACAAGAAAAAAAAGATATGTAGGACTTATATTGAAAAAAACTCAAAAAAAAAGTTTTAATAAAAGTAGTATAGAAAAGGGCTTGAATAAATGGAGACTCTTCTCATTTTCCTTAATGAGATGACTAAACATTGTAAATACATCAATTTACTCAAGTAATTTATATGCTTAATGTCATGCTAATCCTTCCTCCCAAAAAATTGAAAGTTAAAAAAATTACTTTGGGTATTAAAAAATTATTCTAAAGTTCACCAGAAGAATAAAGATGGAAAAATAGATTTACAATATCCAGAAATTGGCTAATAAATAAAATTATGCTTTCTCCTGAATGTCAATAATACAAAATCAAATTCCATGTGAATTAGTTAAATCATTACAAAAATAAAAGTTTAGAGAAAAAACTATTTTATTTTACTACTTTATGAATGGAAAAGTACTTCTAAGAATGGAAGTGGTGTCGGAAATCACAAAGGGAAAATCTAGATTTGATTATAGAGGAAAACAAAACACTGTTTATTAATGAAACATCATAACAAAATTTAAAAGGCAATACAAGAATGAGAGAAAATATAAAACAGAGGGATAATATCTTTAATAGGCAAAGACATATGTAAAAACGAAGCAGAAAAGTAGGTGTATGAATGACAATTCATAGATGAGGAAATTCAAGAGCCAATAAATGCATAGAACACTTTCACCACTAATAAAAGAAATGCAATAAGTATCTGCATATGATACATAATGTTGCAGATGTTTGTAATTTACATAAAAGATACTGAACTAGGGCTGGGCTCAGTGGCTTATGCCTGTAATCCTAGCACTTTGGGAGGCTGAGGTAGGCGGATCGCTTGAGGCCAGGAGTTCAAGACCAACACGGCCAATGTGGCGAAACCCCGTCTCTACTGAAAAATACAAAATTAGCTGGGTGTGATGGTGGGTGCTTGTAGTCTCAGCTACTTGGGAGGCTGAAGCAAGAGAATTGCTTGAATCCAGGAGGAGGAGGTTGCAGTGAGCCCAGATCATGCCACTACACTCCAGCCTGGGTGACAGAGTGAGGCACTGTCTCAAAAAAAAAAAAAAAAAAAAAAAAGATACTGAACTAGGCACTTGACATCCAAGATGTCCACTTGGCCCTTTTCTAAGTGTACTTCACTTTGTTTTCATTCCTCCTCTAAAGCTTTTTAACAAACTGTCACTCGTGTTCTAAAAACAAACAAATGTCTTTCATCTCATTTTTTACTCAGCATTATCTATCAAAGGGACTGGATGTCCCATCTAGTTTGTACTTTAGTTTCTAGCTCATTACATAGGAAATGCAAATAAAAAACACAATGAGATACCACTTCACACCCACTAAGATGGCCATAACTTATTTTTTTTAAAAAAAGGAAAAGGAAAATAATAAGTGTTGGTGAGGAAGTGGACAGAAATTGGAATTCTCATACATTGCTGGTGGGAATGTGGAATGGTTCAACTGCTGTGGAAAACAGTTTGTCTGTTCCTCAAAAAGCTAAACATAGAATTAACATATGACCCAGCAGTTCCACTCCTAGATATATACCCAAGAGAATGCAAAATAGGCATTCAAACAAATACAGGTACACAAACATTCATAGCAGCACTATTCCCAATAGCCAAAAGTCAGAAACAACCCAAAGTCCATCAATGAATGAGTGGATAAATAAATTGTGCTATAAACACATAATACAATTTTATTTGGCCATAAAAATGAAGTGTTGATACATGCTACTATGTAAATAAATCTCAAAAACTTGTACTAAGTGAAAGAAGCCAGACACAAAAGGTCTCATACAATTCAATTTATATAAAATAGCAAGAATAGATAAATCCATAGAGACAGAAAGCAGATTGGTGGTTGCTGGGGGCTGGAGGAAGGAAGGAATGGAGAGTATCTGCTTAATGGGATGGGGTTTCCTTTTAGAGGAGAACATTTTTTTTGGAACTTTAAATAAAGGTGGTGGTTATGCAACATTGTTAACAATACTAAGTGGCACTGAACTTCTCACTTTAAAATAGTTAATTTTATGTTATGTGAAGTTTACCTCAATAAAAAAATTCTTAAAAAAAAAAACTCAGTGATATCCAACCATTAAAAAATATAAGTTACATAGCTCGTATATAATCAACTTACTTATTACTGCACTATGAGGGGCACCCAGATATGTAAGACAGAGTCCCAACCTTTGGTTGTTGGAGGACTATCTAAGGATACAGAGATTAATAAAAATAAAAGAACTACCACGAAAGAAGTGCCCTCCAAGTACAAAGAGAGTTCAAATATGTACATCTGGTTGCGGAGAAAGGAAAAACTTCTCAAAGAAGAATTTGAAGTGAGCTTTAAGGGTTGAATGGAATTTTTACTGTTAGAGGTAGAGAAATACAATATCATAAAGAAAGATGTGATCCCTACAAGAGGATTACGTGGTAAGTTGAAAGACATTAAACAGTCCAACCTGGTCATTGTCAAAACTATATACGTTGGGCACAGAACTGAAGACCAGGTGTCAAAGGAGGATGGCTCTGTCCCCTTTGTGTCCCCAGTGCCTAAAGCAGTGTTTGGTGCATGCTTGGTGATTGGTAAATGTCAAAGAAAAAGATAAAAGATAAAATATAGCCGGGCGCGGTGGCTCAAGCCTGTAATCCCAGCACTTTGGGAGGCCGAGGCGGGTGGATCACGAGGTCAGGAGATCGACACCATCCTGGCTAACACGGTGAAACCCCGTCTCTACTAAAAATACAAAAAATTAGCCGGGCGTGGTGGCGGGCGCCTGTAGTCCCAGCTACTCGGGAGGCTGAGGCAGGAGAATGGCGTGAACCCGGGAGGCGGAGCTTGCAGTGAGCCGAGATCGAGCCACTGCACTCCAGCCTGGGCGACAGAGAGCCAGACTGCGTCTCAGAAAAAAAAAAAAAAAAAAGATAAAATATAAATGTACATTTTACAACCTTTTTTATAAGGCTAAGCACCAGGAAATCTATAAAATAGTAGCAATATCTAGCACCATTTATTACCACTGAGGCAGCGGGTTAAGGAATGTATTCGCAGTGTCAGGAAAGCACAGGGTCGCCAGAGTGAATTGCATGTGGAATTCTAGAAGAACTTTGCTTGCCATCCTATGGGATTTGGACTGCAATTTTAATACAACAGGGAATCATTATGGTCTATTTTCTCAAGATTCTGATTAAGTAGCATAAGCGAGTGTGGAGCATCATGAATTCATGCTGGCAAATCATGAGGGCAGACAGGTAAAGAATCTGCCCTCATCTTTGCACTTGGCTTTCTAGGCCCATCCTCTTGGAGCTGTAGTGGGGATCTGGGGACACAGGAAGAGGGAAATGGCCGAGTGCACGGTAAGTGCACCCTTTATGGCGATGAGAACCTGCCACAGAACAGAATGCTGTTGGCTCTGTTGTGCCTGATGAAGAAAAGGAAAGGGTGGTCAGCACAGAACCTGGGGCCAGATTCCATGCAGCACTCTGCAACTACAAAGCAGCTCGACGCTGCCGCTGCCTCGGTGCCTTCTTCATTCACCTCCACAAAACTCTTGTGCACGAACTTGGACAGACACAGGTCTCTCTCCGCTGACATTGCCGACAAGTCAGCCTTGCCCTGTTGGAAGGCATCAACAATTCCCAAATGCCGAAGCACAGATTCCATGTCATAATCCTCTTGTAGTTTAAATTTTGGAAGGAGAACTTCAACCTCAGTACTCTTCATACAGTCTGGCTTGGTCCAGGCTGTGAGTTTCTCAAAAGTGAGACTTTTTTCCACCTGAAAGACCAGAATTAGACTTTAAGATTCCGACTTCAGTGCACATGTACAAGCGCACAGGCACTCACAGTTCCCTTCCTCCCCTTGCACGTAGGTGTTGTTTGTTCACATAGGATCAGTGGCCCCTTCATCTGCCAGAAGCTTGTGAGCACTCTTACTTGTCCTATGTCCCATGTGCCACTTCCTTGACAAGGGGGAGAGACACCAAGCAGTCAGAGGCAGGAAGGCTGTGGCTGTCCTCTCCTTATCCAACAACTCCAGAGACATCTTGTATTGTGACAAGTGTCAATGCCCAGGCGACTGTGTTTTTTTTTCAAACATAGTCTTTTTAAAGACAACAAACCATTGCTAGTAAAGAAAAGGATTGGAAACGAAAGGGCTCTCAGTGTGAGCCACTCCAACAGGATTATCTGTCCCAGGTGAGATTCTGCATAGTTTCCGGAGCAGAGAGGTTACCAGAGGATTATCTGCCCCAGAGAGATTCTGCATAGTTTCCGGAGCATAGTTTCAGGAAGGTGGGCAGAGGGAGAGCCAATGGCTGCTGCGCACACAGACCTCTTAAGTCATGGGGTCCCACTGCCTGCCATTTGCCATGGTTGACTCTCTCACCCTGGAGATCCATGCTGAAAGGAAGCCGAGTGCCTGGATGTGCCCTCAGAGGCTGCCTCTGGTCCCACCCTCTGAGAACTGGACTTCACACCTCCCTGGATGCCCCCTCCCAGCCTTGTTAGGTCAAAGTTAAGACTTCCTCATTCTCTATTTCAGGTTCCTAGACTTTAAAAGCATAATGCTAAGAATGATGATTGTAATAATGGATCACATTTGTAGAGCATTTACTAGTTGCCAGGCAATGTGGTAAGCTTGTTACCTGAATTACCCACATTTTATCCTCATCATAACTCTAGGAGGCAATAACCCCGAGCAGTCATTTATGCTTTTAGAGTTAAAAGTCTGCCATTCATCAAACTAGCAGGATTTTTATAAGCTTCCTCCTACCTGATTTATTTTAAAAGGCATTTTAACCGCCGCCCACTCCTTCTAGCGATGAAAAAACAGAGGACTGAGATGTGTAGTTTGGCAGATCACGCAGACAATATTGGGAAAAGTCAGCCTTGAACAAAAGTTCGATCCCAACGCCAAGTGCCTGCACAGTGTGCGTCTGCCGCATCGCCAACTCAGAAGGTGAATATGAGAGGTGGAAGTGGCACTCGAGTTCTGCCCGCAAAGGTGTCCCTGGGTTCTTCCCGCAGCCCGGGTCTTACCGTGCTGAGCTCCACGCCGTCGTCAGGCAGCAGCACCAGCAGGCTCAGCTCCTTCCTGGCGTAGGGCAGCTCCAGCAGCTGCGCGCGCACCTCGCCCACGTGGGCGAGCTTAAACGTGGCCTCCTGATACATCATCTGCACTGGCCTTTGCTCCTCCTGGGGGAAGGATTATTGAAAGACGCAATTAAAACTTTCAAAAGAGCTGCAGTTGCCTCCAAGAGTGTTTTCAGCACCTGTGATGGAAACCGCCACATTCATGCCCCAGTTAACACTAAAAAAAAAAAAAAAAAAAAAAAAAAAAAAAGTCAACCAGTTCCTTCCTATCTTCATTGCAAGCAGACACAGTACCACCCTGGGAAAGGTTTTCTTCTGCAAAATAAAATGTGATACCCTACATTTTCCAGAGGAGAAAGATGTTTCTCATTTAAATTGTGCTCAGCAAATAGATCTAAGAAAGCAATATAATCAAATGAAATTAAATACAAATTTGTTTTGATTTAATTAGAAAAAAATGTGTATTGTTTTTCCTATTTATCCAACCCAACATATGAGAAAAAAAATCATAAAGTGGGATGAAACTTATAGTTCCACAACAGCATGACAGGGAGTATAAATGGATACACTCTCTCAGAAAGAGTAACGACCTACATATGTAGTAATGTATTTTAACCCAATCTTTTCAATTCTGATACTCTAATGAAATAACTTTTTTAAAATACAGAAGAGGCATAAGCACATAGAAGCTCAGCAAAGTATTACATTTATTAACGTAATACTTTAAAAAATTGATACAGATCATTTATTATAAAAATTAAAATAGTTCTAAAACCAGGGTTAGAATTCTCCTCCTCCCACCCTTTGCAACTAGAGAACTAATTTTTTTAAGTTAAAGTACACCTTACAAAAAATGCAGGAGGGTTACCTGCTTTTGTTTTTTAATTACATTAAAATAGTATCTTTTTAGGGGCTGGAAGATTTGGCAAATTATTCTAATGCCTGCCTTAATTAAGTTTTACTTCAATGTCAAAACTAAGGTCTTTGTCATGAAGTTTTAATATTAAAAAGCTGTAAATACTGAATTAATGATAATTAGTTAACAATTCAAATCAAAACTTACTTTAATTTTAAAAATAACTAATTAAAGACACATGTTTTCACCTTCTCTCCCTCTACCCTGCCCTATACTGCCTCTCACTCCCACATATCACACTACCTTAACACTTTTTTTTTTTTTTTTTTGCTTTCTAGCCAAGTAAATTGGGCTTATAGGAAGATCTTTAGTTTCCAAAACTAGGTGGCAGCAATGGTTTATGAGAAATTATCAAAGGCAGTTAAGAGCAGTGATAAAACACTACATATATATATATATATTATATATACGTATATATAATATATATATGCAGCAAATATCTTTTACTCCTTCCGTTTTTTTCTACTGAGTTAAGAAATTCATTCAGAAATACTTTAAGTTTCAAATTCCTTTTGGCTTACGCTTATGTCACTTACACTTTTACAAAGTTAAATCTTTCCATTCAACTTCTTCATCAAACTAGCAGGATTTTAAAAAGCTTCCCCCACCTGGTTTATTTTAAAGGGCATTTCCCTTGTGTATGTTTCGTCAAACGGTTCATTCCACTTTCCTTTGAAGTAGATGGCATTGACAAGAACCAGCCTGGTTTCTGCATCAATTGAGCTACCCGGCAACAACTCTTCAATTTTACCTTTCAAGAAAAGTAGAGACTACATTCAGTTGCTTTTTATAAGAACCTGATGCATTGGATGATCCTGGATCATTAGTTGAGAAGCAAACTTCTGTTTTCAACTTTGCTGAGTTTGGGTTGTTATGTAGAGAAATAAAAACAGCACATATGAGTGGTATTCATGATTACTGACACCTTGAGAACATCCACCAAGTTGAGGATGGTGAAAGATACCTAAGTCACTCGAGGAAAGCAGGTTGGTACAAAGTAGAAAAATTACACCAGGTTGGAGAACAAGACCAGCAGGAAATGTGATAGGCTGAAGGGGTGTTTGTCTCACATGGTTAATTGGAGTGTTTGATCCAACCCTTCATGATCACACCCAGTTCTAACATTCTGTGACTATACATGGACATGTCAGAAGCAACCAGAATGGACGGCTCAAAGCGGGAAGAGCTGACATTGGGCACATGGGGAGTTTCCAGAAGCTTTTGGAGGAGATATTCCTGCTGAATCCCCTCAACAAAGCACTAGGCATCCCTGGAAAAGAGGATGTGGGCAAACAAAGATCACCCCTTCTTTCCCTGGAGATCAAGTGGTACTGTTTCAATGAACTGAGGGCATCCCTGCTAACCCACTGCCTGAAGAGAG
The DNA here is from genome assembly GCF_000001405.40 of Homo sapiens. NCBI lineage: Eukaryota > Metazoa > Chordata > Mammalia > Primates > Hominidae > Homo > Homo sapiens. Next base: position 2,894,184 of record NC_000006.12, read on the forward strand.
CATCCGTGGTAAATACTCCAAGCAGGAATGCGGGAAACAACTGCTGAGACTTTAAGCGAAGAACGTCTCCCATTCTTTACCGTCTCATTTATTCACAGAAATGGAAATGTTCCTGGTGGTACTAAGCATAATTGGCGCAGAGGAGTCTGAATGGTTCATCAGACCATCATTGGTCTTGGAGGCCTAGACTGGAACACGTCACTTTCTGAAATGTAGATGAATAAGGTTCAACCCCAAATGGAGGGTATTTTCAGTCTGTGGAACTGATCAGCCCTGAGAGAGGGTCGGCAGTTAACCAATCAAATGTAGGCTTATCAAGTCAAACTAAAGGAGCTTAAGTGGAAGACATGAAAAGTCAGGAGTGACCTTAGCAGGTAAAGGTAATGGTGATGGAGGTCCCCCAGAACCTAGGAAGAGGCAGCCCAAGTGTATACCTCAGGCAAGATCTGTCCACCAATCTCCTTCTCGCAGAGACAATGGAGTCACCTGACATGTGAATGTTACAGGCCAGGGAGAGTATATTTTAATGCAAGTTATTAAACTGGAAACCTGGCCTGAGATTCTTTTGACATTTGTTTTTTTGTTTGTTTTTTGTTTTTGAGACAGGCTGGAGTTCAGTGGCATGATCTCAGCTCACTACAACTTCTGCCTCCCAGGTTCAAGTGATTCTCATGTCTCAGCCTCCCAAGCAGCTGGGATTACAGGCATGGGCCACCACACCTGGCTAATTTTTGTATTTTTAGTAGAGATGTTGGGCGGGGGGGGGTCCCACCATGTTGGTCAGGCTGGTCTCGAACTCCTGACCTCAAGTGATATGTCCACTTCGGCCTTCTAAATTGCTGGGATTACAGGCGAGAGCCACCGTGGCTGGCCCTCTTTTGACATTTGTATCAGCTACTCTGGTCCTGGGAGAATAGACAAAAGTAAATCTCTGTTGCTGAAAACCTGAATGTCTGATCAGAACCTTTATGAGTCCATCAAGGTTCAGTATGCCAGGAGGCCCTGCCAGTCAACACTACTCTGACCATCTGAAACACCCGTGAAATTAGAGGGGGCGGAGTGGAGAGGTGGAGGTGGGTGAGGAGAGGGAGGAGGGATAGGAGGGAGAGGAGGAGGAGAGAGGATATAAGAGGCGGGAAGGAGGAATAGGAAGAGCCGCAGGAGGAGGACGGGTTGGGAGGAAGGTGCAATAACTTGTCATTCTGACCTTCGGTCTTTTTTGAGACCCAGGTGTTGATGTGTTTCCTGGACTCTTCTGCAGCTCTGATAAAGGAAAGCTCCTTCAGCTCAGCATGGTAGAATTGAAGACAGGATTCCTTAAACGTCTTTGGAGAGAAAAATGTTCAGTGAGGCTGCATTGCTAAATACAAATGTCAGCAAACTTCCAAAAATTCTAAATATGTTATCTTTTTTTAATAAAAAGAATATACATAACTCTTTAAAAGTGATCATATGAAGATATGTTAAAATATCAGAGTTTGTGAATAGGTATGTATTGAACCCTGAATAACCAGAAATGAACTTGAGAATTTTACCTTTCAATTTTACCTTTCAAGAAAAGTAGAGACTACTTTTGCAATACTAATGCAAGGTATAATTATAGAATTGCAGTCTTTAAAAAAAAAAAGAAGTTTAGGCTGGGCGTGGTGGCTCACATCTGTAATCCCAACAGGCAGGAGGATCACTTGAGACCAGGAGTTTAAGACCAGCCTGGGCAACGTAGTGAGACCCCATCTTAGAAAAAAAAATAGTGCAATTTTTTTAAATTGGTTAACATAAATTTCTCAATTTCTCTAGGGTCTTTCTCCCAGACTCTATATCACCAGGTATGTTGAATGCAACTTTTATTGTTCTATTGATTCAACTTACTGAGAGGAACTGACAAGTTTTCTCTCCAAAGAGCCTGTTGGCCGTTCTCAGCAGGTACTGTGTGCCAGCCTTGTTCACTTCAGTGAGAAGCGACTGGAAAGCCCGATGAATGTCTTCCTCTGTGTTTAAAGACAGTGCCTGTTGTGAAAGATAATTTTAAAAGTTATCAAGATAGCTCTTTGATGGCTGGGGAGAGGAGAGAGAGGGGACAGAAAACAGGCGAGTAAAAGATGTAGCCATTCTGCCTGAATGGATCTCGCTTGTTTAAAGATCAGTAACACACAAAAAATGACAAGGGTGAGAAAAGCTCAGAAAAGAGGTTGTGATAAAATCTTGCATCAAAAGGAAAATATAAATGTACCCTAAGTGGTGGGAAAATTACCTCTAAAATTTATAGTGAAAAAAAAAGATGCAGTTAAAAAGTTAAAAGCAGAAAAAATGCATGGAAAAATAGACGGAAATACAATCATCAGAATCCTCAAAAGGAAACAAGGATATTACATGAGCAATGTGATTAATAAGACAATAACACAGTTATTAAAATTGTACCCTATAGGGACTACATGTGTGTATATTAAATATTTCAAAATATATCACACATATTGGGCCATAAGAAAAGTCTCAACATCCCAATACATTCTGAAATACAGAATTATATAGATCATATTCTCTAACTTCAATGTAGTAACAAAAAATCAGCATTATAAATAAAATGCCAACAAAATGAAAATCACCTACAAAATATTACTGAAAACACTTTTCTAAATAATTAACTCTTCAAAGTAAAAATTAAAATACTTTTCTAGGCCAGGCACAGTGGCTCATGCCTATAATCCCAGCACTTTTGGAGGCCAAGGCAGGAGGATTGTTTGAGCCCAAGAGTTTGAGGCTAGCCTGGGCAACATTGCAAGATCCCATCTCCACTTAGCTGGGCATGATGGTGTGTGCCTGTGGTCCCAGCTACTTGGAAGGCTGAGATGGGAGGATTGCTGGAGCCCAGGACTTTGAGGCTGCAGTGAGCTATGATCAAGCTGCTGCACTCCAGCCTAGGAGACAGAGCAAGACCATGTCAAAAAAAAAAAAAAAACACAAAAAATCCTCTTCTAAACAAATATTTAAAATATTCTTCTAGGCTGGGCACAGTGGCTCATGCCTGTAATCCCAGCACTTTGGGGGGCCGAGGCGGGCAGATCACTTGAGGTCAGGAGTTCAAGACCAGCCTGGCCAAGATGGCGAAATCCTGTCTCTACTAAAAATACGAAAATTAGCCGGGTGTGGTGATGCTTGCTGGTAATCCCAGCTACTTGGGAGGCTGAGGCAGGAGAATCACTTGAACCCAGGAGGCGGAAGTTGCAGTGAGCCAAGGTCATACCACTGCACTCCAGCCTGGGCAACAGAGCAAGACTCCTTCTCAAAAAACAAACAAACAAACAAATTCTTCTAAATAAGTATATGACATATGATTTAGAAAATAATCAAAATATGGGTGATATATATTAGACCAAAGAGTTTGGCCAAAGATAAGTTAAAACATAGCATTGTTTTCAATATTACCAAGAAAGTAATAAAATGCTAAAACTTTAAAATCATTATGTTAGAAAAGATACAGAAAAACTCCCAAGGAATTTTGGGACAAACACAAAATGATCAATGAATCCAAGAGCTGGTTCTTTAAAAGAAAACACACATACATACAAAACAGACAGCCACCCACCACATGTAAGAAAAAGCACCCCAAAGTAAAGTTATATGTGAAAAAGAGGTTACAGCAATATAAACAAAGGGAATGTTAAAACAAAAACTCTATATAATTATTTTCAGTAAAGTACAGATTATAAGTTACCAAATGCCAGTCAAAAATATGAATACTAGCCAGGCATGGTGACATGTGCCTGTAATCCCAGCTACTCGGGAGGCTGAGGCAGGAGAATCACGTGAACTTGAACTCGGGAGTTGGAGGTCGTAGTGAGCTGAGATAGCACCACTGCACTCCAGCCTGGGTGACAGAGCAGAGACTCTATCTCAAAAAACAAAACAAAACAAACAAAACAAACAAAAAACAGAATCTATCAGTCACAATGAATGAACAAAAAAAAAATAAGAGGGAGAGAGAGAATTACTTCTAAAAAGGCTTAGATGATCTTTTGAGGGATTTTTTTTTCTAATATTCAAGCAATTTCTATTTCTCATGCAATACACACTGTTCTATAACATAGAAAAAAGAGGAAGCTACTAAATTTACTTTAGACAGCTCATAGACTGTTGATGAGAAACCCTGTCAAATAGAACAGAACCAAAAGCTAAGACCAATTTCACCTGAGGCTGTGACACCACTATTACTATTCATAGCCAACACATGTTGAGCACTTGCTTTACATGGACTGTCTCACCGAATCCTCACATTAGCTGAAAAATCATTTATAAAAGTAAAGATACCATATAATCACCAAAGTACAAAATGTCAAGTGAAAATCAGGAAATAGGGCCGGGCGCAGTGGCTCACGCCTGTAATCCCAGCACTTTGGGAGGCCAAGGCGGGTGGATCACGAGGTCAGGTGATCGAGACCATCCTGACTAACACAGTGAAACCCTGTCTCTACTAAAAATAAAAATTAGCTGGGCGTGGGGGCGGGCACCTGTAGTCCCAGCTACTCGGGAGGCTGAGGTGGAAGAATGGTGTGAACTCGGGGGGTGGAGCTTGCAGTAAGCTGAGATCGCACCACTGCACTCCAGCCTGGGCGACAGAGCAAGACTCTGTCTCGAAAAAAAAAAAAAGAAATAGGACTGGAGGAAGATGCTTTACATTATCAAGGGTGGTTGTCTCTGTTTGATGGATTCATAGGGATTTTTTCCTCCCTTCTACTTTTATTTTTTAAAAATTTTTATAGTGGACTTTTACCAGTTATATAATGAAGGAAAAATAAATAATTCTTTAAAATATTTCTGCTGCCATTAACGCTTCCCTGCATGTTACAGGTAGCAACGTGTACTCAGTATGTTTGGTGTCTCACAAGCATCCAGTTGAACACTGGAGCCATGGAGAGAGCTCAGTCTCACACCTAAGAAGGTACCCAGACAATTTTGGTGCTCTCAAAAAAGCTTTCTATAAGGGTTTATCAGTGAGCCTAAAACATAGAAAAAGATCATACAGATTTCAGCATAAGGAACTTCAGAATCAAAATGGAGTCACTAATATTAAAAAAACAAAACCAAAAACCTTTGACAAACAGACAGGGAAGGCCATGAAGAGAGGGTTCTCACGCTTGAATGCCTGATAACACAACTATCACAAAGGACTCTAAAAACCTACGCTCTTGCACAAAGGCCATCACAGCCTTACACAACAAAATACTTGTGCAAGGACATCTACCCAGGAACTCCCCATCCAACCTCACACTGACATCACCTTCGTTATTGATCTTTTTGCCAAAAATAATTATTTCAAAGGAATTATGTAATCCTCTTTACTTTTTCCTTTAAAAATCTTAGTGTTATTTCACCTCCCTGAATGTGCACATAGCTTGCCATGGCATGCGTATTTTCATTGCAATGCCCTATTTCCAAATATATATATCTTTTAGAGAGCCTCTCTGTGCTTATTATTAAGGCTGGTAGCCTTTACACATAAACCCTCCCTTCTTCACACAATGAGCTGGGAAATTATTAAAATGAGTAATTCACTATTGAAAAGCGTCATCAAAGAAAAAGACAGTCATATTGAACAAAGGACAACTCCCATGATGAAGGCGTGTCCAGCGGCCTGCACTCAGGGATGGCGCTTTTCGGTTTCATCTCACGTGTATGTCTCCTCTCCTTTCCACAAAGGTCTGGGGACAAGCACTGATCTTGAATCATTTCCACAGGTTCTCTGAATGTTGGTGAGACTGAGCTGAGCAGTACCTGCACAGTGTGCAGCTGTAATGAAGCACTTGCCCTGGAATCCTTCTTGCAAATTTCTGTTGATGCCCTCCCTGAGCTGTTGGTACAGAAACAACTTGAAACAGGTATTAACCTTCCTTACCAATGAAAGTTTAGTTACAAAGTCTCTTGCTCCAAAAAAGAGGTAGTTCTTTGCAACTTATGTTTCAAATAATTTCAGTGTCATTTTCTAAAGAAAGATTCTGCGCTAGGACAAGACAGCTTGGATGGTCTTTTCCAAGGGATTAACCGAGGAAAGTTTCCCCCAAATAAATCTCGGTGGAGCAGAGTTCCTGCCTCCCTGCCCTGCCCCACTTCTTCCCCAGTGGACCCCGCCTCCCTGAAACGGCCAGTGCACACTCGGGCCCCAGTCCTGCCCTCCTTTCTCAGTGGCTCTGGAGTGTGAGTGTGAAGCTGGTGACAGAACACGCAGCCCAGGCCAGTCCCTGCTCCTGGCGGACGGGCAAGCTTACCTGGGCCATCTGGGTTGCGGTGTTTCCCTTTGCCCCTAGGAGAACCATGGCCAGGGCAGAGGAGATGCTCACAGGAGAACAGAACACGTTGTGCGAAGGGTTATCTTGACACAGTATCTTTAAAAGGCGTATGGCAAAAGTACCACTTGCATTAGAAAGAGTTTCCATGATGCAGGGCCTGGAAGGGAAGAATAAAGAGAAATGCAGTTTCCACACTCCCTGAATGTTACTGACCTACTTACTACAGGGCAATTTTGGAATCGTACTTTTTGTTTTCTTCTTAAAGTTCGTAAGTATTTTAAATTGGAGAAAAATTTATTTTCTGTTAGTCTCCGGCCAAAAATTAAGTGCAAATGTTAAGGTAATTAGCTAAGTGTGGTGATGGCAGCAGCTCAAACCAGCAATAGCAACAGAACTGGCTCGCCTGCAGAGCTCGCTCTCTCACACACACACACACACACACACACAGAGCTGGAAGCAGTGAACTCCAATTCTTTCCGTAAGGACCAGATCGTCCCATCTGAGGAGGAGAATGGGGTCAGGGAGGAGGAGGAAAATGCTGTTCTTATTCTTGCATGCATTTACAAAGAGTCCTTGTGAGATTTTCAACTGGGCACCAGCCTGTGGCCTCCCTGACATTCAGCTGATACACAAAAGACACTGAGATGCTGAATCTGACCCAGAGACAGACAGCTGTGAGGCAAGGAGCTGTCATCCATAGAGGCAAGTGAGTGCGTCCTGGACAGCCGGGGTGGAGCCAGGCTGCTCCCAGTCAGCCAGCCTGCCCCAGGCCCACGCGGCCTGACATCCCAGTAACTCCATTCAGAGCTCCTGCCCATCACCAGCTTCTGCACATCATGTGACCCTTGAACACAGAGTGGGACTTGGACAATTGTGTGGTTTTGCTTCGTTTTGTTTTGTTTTTAATGTGCTTCCTAACTCAGAAACATCTATTTGGGAGCTTTACTCATTACTCCCAGCAAAAGCCATGAGTGTAGATTGTGCGTGAGAGGAAGGATCTGATCCCTGCAGAACGCCAGAATGGAAAGGCAAGAAACAGCCCAAGGTGAGGAGTAAAACAGGCGAGAACAAGGAGGTGGTGCCTGTGAAGCCACTGGAGACCAAAGTGTGAATGTGAGGGGGTGGGTCTCTTGGCCACAGGCCTGAAACCAAATGAACCCCCACCCCCAGGCTGCAGTTCCCAGTGCACTTGGAAATGAGACCCTGACTCCTCCAGGTGAGCCTGGGAGACCTCCCTGACTCCTTTCCATCTCCCCCTCCTCCCCCACACCCATCCCCAAGGCCTGCCCTCTACGCCCACATTTCTTCCCACTTCGGATTCTGTGCCTGGTCTAATGCCCAGGCCCCCTCCCGAGCCTCTGGTCTCCCTAGAGCCACTCCCCACTGTCGGGACACCTCATCTGTGCTCCCCAAAACGCCACGCAAAGCGCTGGAGAGCCTTGGACAATGAACACAACCCACTCCCCCAGCCACCCCCACGCCACAGCCACACGGCACCTCAGAAAGCGGTGTCTTAATCCTCTTGTCCTTCCTCCTAAATCTCCCAGGGGCCCTTAGGCCCCTCAAAGGTGGCCGCTCAAAGCCACCTTGTTAAAACGGTGTCTTACCCACCTGCCCCCTCCCTTGATCCAGACTCACTGAGGTCACAGCCTCCACCTCTGGCCATCCTGAACCCCTCCCAAAGTCAACTCTTCACAAACACTGTTGGTCCCCCTTAGAAGGCCCCATGTCCATCACGGCATTAATTCCACTCACCCTCAAACACCGCGGCCCGGAGGCTCTGATTCCCACCCTGGAGGAGGTTCTCTTGACCCCGCCGGCGCGACCCTCCCCAGCACGACCCTTCCTCCCGAAGGTGATTCCTCATCTTGCTGGTGGTCCCCACAGACCGCAGGCTCTGCAGGCGAGCGCTGAGCCTGGCTCTGCAGATTCTCAGGACCCCATTCGTTTAGCTGAATTATTGAAAGAATTAAGATGGATAAGAGTGCTCAGATTTGAAACTCCGAGACTGGTGGCTTTATTTTTTTGTTGTTGTTGGTGGTGGTTTTTTTGTGTTTTTCTTTTTTTTGTTTTGAGACGAAGTCTCACTCTGTCTGCCAGGCTGGAGTGCAGTGGCGCAATCCCAGCTCACTGCAACCTCTGCCTCCCGAGTTGAAGTGATTTTCCTGCCTCAGCACATAGCTGACATTATTACAGGCGTGGGCCACCATGCCCGGCTAATTTCTGTATTTTTAGTAGAGACCGGTTTTCACCACGTTTGCCAGACTGGTCTCGAACTCCTGATCTCCAAGGATCCGACCGCCTTGGCCTCCCAAAGTGCTGGGATTACAGGCGTGAGCCACTGCGCCCGGCCGAGACTGGTGACTGTAAAGGACAGTGAAGAAGCAGGACAGACGTCATCCTGCGGATCCCAGAGCAGAGAAGAGCAGTGAGAACACAGGGCCGGCAGGTGGGGAGGAGGCTGCAGGGGAGGGCTTCGGCCAGGGAAGGGCAGCGAGGAGACATCCGGGAGGGAGGCGTCCGCGGTGGCTGTGGGCCGCCAAGGCGGAGACCGGCTGCCGCTCCCAGGCACCCCCCAGAGACCGTTGCTGACCCCACCGAGAAGGCACCGCCTCCCCGGGGCTCTTGGCTGAGCGACCTCTCCTGTCCTCCGGTCCCATCACTCGGTGGCAGCCGGTGGACCTGAAGCTCGCCACTCCCGTCCCCTACCCCAGCCGTGCGCGGGGACGCCCTCACCTGCCACCTAGTCCAGCGCTGCCGCCGTCTCCGTGCCGCGCTCCGAGCCTGGACGCCGACCCCCGAGGCGCAGGACCCGGCCCTGCTGCTGCGCTCGCCGCGGACTCCCGCTAGGGCCTCTGCAGGCACCGCTTTTATACCGCAGGGTCGGGCGCCTCCCACGCTTTCTGCGTTTAGGCGGAGCCTGGCGGGACCAGCGGGGGCGCCGCGCGTGGTGGCCGAGGTCAGAGCTGGGAGCAGGGTCAGGTCAGGGTCCCCCCAGTCCGCCCCGCCCGGGGCGATGTCCGCCAATGCTCCCGCCAGCCTGAGGCCGGCCAGGTTCCCAAGGCGCGCGCTCGGCCTCACCCACCCCCGGCGCCAGGGCCTCTTCAGGACCGGGTTCAGAACCTGACAGCCCAGAGAAGTAGGTTGGGAGCCTGCGGCGTCCAGGGCCTCCGCGCGAAGAAACAAGGCGTCTGCGGGAAAGGAGACGGAGCCTGGAACCCTGGGCTTTTGTACTTAAGGAAGCGAAGGTCGGGTGACAGCCAAGCTCCGTGTTCCAGTGGGAAGGTCCCATGGGTCTGTGTTCCACGCCTCTTGTCATGAATATGGGGGATTCACTTAGAACCAAAGCATTTGTTCCAGGTCCCACCACTAACTAGTACTAGTCCTGGGCCCAGAACCAGGCGTCCTCACTCCTAGTACCCAAGCCCTTCTCTAGCCACAGGTGTTTGGGCTGCGGTGTGGTGTAAGCAGCCCCATTTTCCCGCAAAGTGATGGGAAGAGACACTGAGTCACACGGGCTCAGGACACTCCTTGTGTCCTCTATCAGGGGGTCCAGAGGCAGGGACTCGGGGGAGTTGATGCAGCAGTTCGTGATGTCATCAGATATCCCCCCACCCCCTTCCATCTCAGGCTGGACTCAATTGGAAGCATTTCATGTTGGCACGGTGACGTCCAGAGGAAGGGAACAGACAAATGGCTCTCTCTGGAGCACGGAGCGTCGCCCAGAAGCCGTGCCCTCCTGTTTCAAATTGACCAGAATTAGAGCTTTCTCCTGAGGGCCTGAATTAGGGAGAAGCAAGGCAGGTGCCTAAGGCACAAAATTTCAGGAGGGCCACACGCATAGGTGCCAACCCTGCATTTGCGCGGCCCTGAGAATCAGAGCCTCCTTCAATTTGACACCCTAGGTGCCTAGCTTGTTTTTAAAAATAAAACCTTTATTAAAAGACAATTCACGGACCATAATATGCATCCTTTTAAAGCATACAATTCAATAGTTCTTGGTATATTGACAAAGCTGTCCAACTCTCACCACTATCTAACTCCAGAAGGTTTTCATCACCCTAAAAGGAACTGTGATACCCATTAGCAATTATTCTCCATTTCCTCCTTCCCACAACCCCTGGCTTCTGGGAGAGGCTCCGACCTCCAGATTTCTTTTCTGGCCCTGCGGATTGACCGACTGTGAAGATTTCATGCAAATTGAATCATACAATATGTGGTCTTTCCTGACTGCCTTCTTTCACTTAGCATAATGTTTTCAAGGGTCATTCTTGATGGTTCCAGGTAGCATTTGTTAGTACTTTATTTCTTTTTATAACTGAATAATACTTATAAAAATATTATAAAATCAAAAGGGAAATTAGAATGTATTTTGAAATTAATAAAAAATGAAAATAAAAACATCAAAATTTGTAGGATGTTATTAAGTCAGCTTTGGGGAAATTTTGCAGCATGAAATGCCTATATTAGGAGAGGAGAAAGGCTTCAAATCAATGACCTCAGTTTCTACCTTCAAAAACTAGAAAAAGTATAAATACATTGAACACATAATCAGTAGAAAAGAAGAAATAATAAAGATTAGAGAATAAATCAATGATATAGAAAACTTTATAATGATAGAGACAATTGATTAAACAAAAAGCTGTTATTTATTTATCCACTTATTTATTTTTTTGAGGTGGAGTCTTGCTCTATCGCCTAGGCTGGAGAACAATGGCGTGATCTTGGCTCACTGCAACCTCCACCTCCCAATTCCAGCGATTCTCCTGCCTCAGCCTCCCAAGTAGCTGGGACTATAGGCATGCATCACCATACCCAGCTAATTTTTGTATTTTTAGTAGAGATGGGGTTTCACCATGTTGGCCAGGCTGGTCACGAACTCCTGACATCAGGTGATCCTCCCGCCTCAGCCTCCCAAAGTGCTGGGATTACAGGCGTGAACCACTGTGCCTGGCCATACCCATGAATTTTAAGGCAACAAATGGGGGCATCGTTGTCAGTGCCATTGCAAGAAAGTGTCTGAGTAAACGTGGACCATGATGGCATAGTGCAAACATGTTAGCTGCCTCTGTGCTCCGAGGCCTAGAGGAAACGTCCTTTCAATCCAAATCATGTGACCAGCGATGGAAAATGGGTTTAGGAAAGGATAAAAACACAGAACTATGAAAACAAGGTTATTTTAGCTTTTCCTTTCCTTTCTCCTCTTTCCCCCACTAAAAATTGTATGGGGGGGTGGGGCATGAAATCTGTTCAGAAATAGCTAAGAATCAAGAGATTTTGCAATTACCTATATTTTTCATTTAAAATCTCTTCTACTTTATTACTTTAAGAAAGTCACAACATATCACAAAAATATTTCTTTATCTGATTGCTCATCATGGTTTTCCCAGATAGAAAATACACAGGGCCCCAGAGGAAGCATTTTTCCAGGATTTTCCAACACTGTCCGGAGGAAGGGAGTCTTTGATCCTCACACCAGGTCCAAGGATTTTTCAAAAATCACTACTTCATGATCAGACAAGCCCAAGAGAAATGACAGAATCATGTTGCTGGCCTGAAAACCTGGCAAACGTGTAAGCAGACCTCCGTCACTGAGGACCCACCCAGCAGTAACTTCCTTCCTAGCTCCAAGTTCACTGCAAATAAAGTCCCTCACCACCAATGACCCAGCCGTTGTGCGTCTCTAGACTCTTCTGCATCTTTAGCAAAGGCCACATTTTCCAGCTCTACCTGTGGGCATTTGACACACTTCCTTAAAGTCCTGCAAAGAGCAAAATATGGAGCGTGGCCCTATTCATTCTGCAAAGGTTTCCACAACTTTGAAAACATTTCCCTGCCCCCAACATGTTCCTATCATGCTTGTGACACAGTCAGGTTCCATTCTAAGACTCATGCATTCAGTTAACAAAAAATAATTCGCTTCCTGCCATGGGCTTGGCTTGGCACTTGCTGGGAACTTGGTACCAAGTTGAAGACACAATATCTGGCCCAAGAGGGCAGCAGTCTGAGGGAGAGACGGCGAGCACACTGAGGTACTTCCAAGGTGCCCTGAACACCCCTAGAATGGCCCAGCCCAACACTTAAGCTCCACAGGGACTTTCCACTAAATCTTCTGTCTCCCACACCGGACTGCGAGCCTCAGGACAGCCTAACCCTCCTTTACTAATTTTTATATTAGCACACTGTACATTTGGCCACCGGTACCTCAGGTTCCACATCCACAGATTCAACCAACTGCAGATGGAAAAATTTTTTAAAAAATCAAAAAATAATACAAAATTTAAAACAATACAGTATAACGGCTATTTGTACAGCATTTACATTGTATTAGGTATTATACATAATCTAGAGATGATTTCAAGCGTATGGGAGGATGTTACACAGGTTACATTTGCATAGGTTATATGCAAACACTACGCCATGTTATATTAGGGACTTGAGGATCCGCAGAGCTCAATGTTCGCTAGGATCCTGGAATCAATCAGATACCAAGAGACAACTGTATTTGCTGAAGCGTATTTGTTGAATGATTGAAAGGCTTCATACTGGGATTAGATGATCAAGAAATAGAGATCTGCAAGTGGGCAAACAGGGAAACGGCATTTCAGATCTGCATCATCCAGGTGGCTTGAGAGAACAGGGACCAAGGAAGGTCCCTGAAGATGGACTTGGAAGGGTCTGGAGGTTGTGTGTGTGTGTGTGTGCGCGCTCGAGTATGTGTGTCGAGGTTGTGTGTGTGTGTGTGTGTGTGTGCTCGAGTACGTGTGTCGAGGTTGTGTGTGTGTGTGCTCGAGTACGTGTGTCAAGGTTGTGTGTGCTCGAGTACGTGTGTCAAGGTTGTGTGTGTGCTCGAGTACGTGTGTCGAGGTTGTGTGTGTGTGCTCGAGTATGTGTGTCCAGGTTGTGTGTGTGTGTGTGCTCGAGTATGTGTGTCAAAGTTGTGTGTGTGTGTGCGCGCGCTCAAGTATGTGTGTCCAGGTTGTGTGTGTGTGTGCGCTCGAGTATGTGTGTCGAGGTTGTGTGTGTGTGTGTGTGTGCTCGAGTATGTGTGTCCAGGTTGTGTGTGTGTGCTCGAGTACGTGTGTCGAGGTTGTGTGTGTGCTCGAGTACGTGTGTCGATGTTGTGTGTGCTCGAGTACGTGTGTTGAGGTTGTGTGTGTGTGTGCTCGAGTACGTGTGTCGAGGTTGTGTGTGTGCGCTTGAGTACGTGTGTCGAGGTTGTGTGTGTGCTCGAGTACGTGTGTCGAGGTTGTGTGTGTGTGCTCGAGTACGTGTGTCGAGGTTGTGTGTGTGTGCTCGAGTACGTGTGTCGAGGTTGTGTGTGTGCTCGAGTACGTGTGTCGAGGTGTGTGCTCGAGTACGTGTGTCGAGGTTGTGTGTGTGTGTGCTCGAGTACGTGTCGAGGTTGTGTGTGTGTGCTCGAGTACGTGTGTCGAGGTTGTGTGTGTGTGCTCGAGTACGTGTGTCGAGGTGTGTGTGTGCTCAAGTACGTGTCGAGGTTGTGTGTGTGTGCTCGAGTACGTGTGTCGAGGTGTGTGTGTGTGCTCGAGTACGTGTGTCAAGGTTGTGTGTGTGTGTGCTCGAGTACGTGTGTCGAGGTTGTGTGTGTGTGTGCGCTCGAGTACGTGTGTCGAGGTTGTGTGTGTGTGTGTGTGTGTGCTCGAGTACGTATGTCGGGAGGGGGATAAGAAGAACACAGCAGCAGGAGATGAGCCTTGAAACGTATGTTGAGGTCAAATCGAAAAGGCCTGTATGCAAACCTTTGAAGCCCAGAGCTGACTCCCTTCCATGATCACCTGGTTTCAGCTATAATGGGCTTGGCACTAGCCTCCCATCCTCTGCCCATCTTCTTGTTCTCAAATAATCTTGGTTCTACAGAAGAGGATGTAGAGAGGAGAAGGGGCTAGGCAACGAGAAAGGTGGCAGGTGGCCCCCTGTGTCCCCAGTATTCTCCAATTATAATAGTCAAAGATCAGGCCAATGTTCAAAAATGATTCCTGGGATCGCTGGTGCTTATCCACCCAAAGGGCCCAGAATCTGCCCCAGTGGGATATAAGCCGAGAGCAGGCAACCTCCACAGGAGAGTCCCCGGCAGCAGTGATGACTGGGATGTATTTGAATCTTACAGAAGAACCCTTGGAATCCAGCCAGTCAGCAGCTCACTGATCTCAGATAACATCATCCTGCATGCTACCTGGTGTGGTGAAAAGCAAGAGAGATCAGATTGTTACTGTGTCTGTGTAGAAAGAAGTAGACATAGGAGACTCCATTCTGTGCTGTACTAAGAAAAATTCTTCTGCCTTGAGATGTTGTTGATCTATGACCTTACCCCCAACCCCGTGCTCTCTGAAACATGTGCTGTGTCAGACTCAGGGTTAAATGGATTAAGGGCTGTGCAGGATGTGCTTTGTTAAACAGATGCTTGAAGGCAGCATGCTCCTTAAGAGTCATCACCACTCCCTCATCTCAAGTATCCAGGGACACAAACACTGCGGAAGGCCGCAGGGACCTCTGCCTAGGAAAGCCAGGTATTATCCAAGGTTTCTCCCCATGGGATAGTCTGAAATATGGCTTCATGGGAAGGGAAAGACCTGACCGTCCCCCAGCCCGACACCCGTAAAGGGTCTGTGCTGAGGAGGATTAGTAAAAGAGGAAGGAATGCCTCTTGCAGTTGAGACAAGAGGAAAGCATCTGTCTCCTGCCCGTCCCTGGGCAATGGAATGTCTCGGTATAAAACCCGATTGTACGTTCCGTCTACTGAGATAGGGAAAAACTACCTTAGGGCTGGAGGTGGGACATGCGGGCAGCAATACTGCTTTGTAAAGCATTGAGATGTTTATGTGGATGCGTATCTAAAGCACAGCACTTGATTCTTTACCTTGTCTATGATGCAAAGACCTTTGTTCACGTGTTTGTCTGCTGACCCTCTCCCCACTATTGTCTTGTGACCCTGACACATCCTCCTCTCTCAGAAACACCCAGGAATGATCAATAAATACAAAGGGAACTCAGAAGCCGGCGGGATCCTCCATATGCTGAATGCTGGTCCCCTGGGTGCCCTTATTTCTTTCTCTATACTTTGTCTCCGTGTCTTTTTCTTTTCCAAGTCTCTCGTTCCACCTAACGAGAAACACCCACAGGTGTGGAGGGGCGACCCACCCCTTCAACCTGGTAGAATTTGTTTGAGCCTCATGTATTGCATTATGGAAGGGTTTTTCTGGACTGTGAGTACACGTTTAAGTAAATAAAAGCTACTCACATTTAAAGCCTCAGTTTAATGAACAGATTTTTTATTTACAAAAACTATTCTGTCAGTAATGGGGGTTTATGAGACAGAGGGAGGTTTCAGGCTGTGCTTGGAGAGAGTGCTTAAAAGGCAGTTAAGATGGTAGTGTAGAAGCTAAAGGGGGATTGTGAAGCCAGGCAGTAGCAGGGATGACTCAGAAAGGGGGCGAATGTAAGAGGCCTTGAGAGGAAACCAGTCCAGCACCCAGAGGTGAGATGGGGGAGGAGGCCCTGATGGCTGAGCCTTGTGCTGCATGCTGGAAGACGGGGTTTAAGGAGGAGACGCAGATTTGGGCGCAGGAGAATGGACATATTGAAATTGACATCAGAAGAGGGTTATCAAAAAATAAACAAGGGAGATGTAATTTAGAAGCAATATTAAAGATTAAAATTAGACCAGGCCCAGTGGCTCACACCTGTAATCCTAACACTTTGGGAGGCCAAGGCAGGTGGATCACTTGAGGTCAGGAGTTCAAGACCAGCCTGGCCAATATGGTGAAACCCCATGTCTACTAAAAATACAAAAATTAGCCAGGCGTGGTGGCATGCGCCTGTAATCCCAGCTACTCAGGAGGCTGAGGCAGGAGAATGGCTTGAACCCAGGAAATGGAGGTTGCAGTGAGCCAAGATCGCACCACTGCACTCCAGCCTGGGCAACAGACTGAGATTCTGTCTCAAAAAAAAAATAATAAATAAAAATTATAATTACACAAGTGCAATTCTAAGTACATGTGATGGCAGCAGAATTGTGTGTATTCTCTACTCTTCTGTAGTTCCTCTTTTATTTTCCTTTTCATTGATTCTGAGTACTACTTACTAAAACGTGTTTTTTTCTCCAAAGTCTGTCAGCGATTCTAAGATATATTCACTTCAATGGGAAGTGACTGGAAGTCTTGGTGAACGTCGTTATCTTTGTTTAAACAAAGTGCCTGGTAATATTAAACAGCAATGCCAACTTCGAACATTGCCCTCTTACTTCCCCTAAAGAGGGACCTCCAAATGAATCTCTACACAAAAAATTAGGTAGGGTCCTATAACGAAATGCTTTAATTGTCTAGCGCAGGGTTTCTCAACTGACGTATTGCTGATGTGTGAAGCCAGATCATTCTTTGCACTGGGTGCTGTCCTGTGCAGTGCAGGACATTCAGCAGCATCCCTGGCCTCCACCCCCTCCATGCCAGGCACACCTACCCCTCAATGATGATAACCAAAAATGTCTCCAGACATTGCCAAATGTCCTCCAGGCCGGGGCACAGTTGCCCCCTAGGTGAGAACCATGGGTCTGGCAGATTTATTCATGCTAGGAAGCCTTGATAACAGGAGGAAAACAGAACAGAAAAAAAAAAAAAATGAGTCTTCAGGTTTAAATCTAACCTGGCCCCAGGGAACACAAGAAAGAGCAGACATAAAACTGAAAATGTTTCACCAGTAATTTTACAGAAGTTCTCCAGGTAACACTGTGATTTAAATGTCAAGCCACAGTGAAAATTAAGGTTGTTCCTCTATCACCGGCCCTTCCACCAGAAGCTGGAAGAAACAGCTGCAGGGGGATCTTCAGCTGAGGTCTGTGGATGCAGTTCGAGAGGTCAGCCAGACACCACTAATGTGACTTGCACAACATTGCACAGGTGGTAACACGCCGAGACACTTCCCCAGATCATCAAAGAAACCTGAGACTCAGAAAGGTTAAGGACTGCTTCCCTAAAGCAGTGCCCACTACCTCATTTGTACATATGGTTCCCATCATCCATTTTGGGGCAGTCAGAATATATTTGCCCTCTAAGCTCCAGAAGATATACATTCTCATTTGTGTTTTTTTCTTTTTTCACGTATTCATTATCATCCACTAAAAATAACCCATTTTATGGAAGGTTCATTTACAGCTGCAATTCTATTTTAAACACATTTAGCAAAAGTTTAAAACAAAAAATTGAAATTGTCTTTTTGTGGAATAGAATTGTAGCTTTACCTTATCAAAGATGCAATTTTGCTGTGATTTATGGATGCTTTTGTCTAGAGAAAATAACTTCATCACTTGATTTCTCCCACAAACACTACAGGAGATTCCCCATCCTGCACAGTTCACCTTTCTATCCATTTCTGCCATGTGCTATCATGAGGTCCTTCCTGCCACCTACAGGCCACCCCAGCTTTTACCGGCTGATGTGAAGGTATGAAAAGGCCCCTCTGTGGAAGCACAGGAGAAAAACATGCCATCATTCTCCCCATGTGATAGGTACATTTCCACCTGTCCCTATGAGCACCATGGCCATGGCAGAGGAGATGCTCAGGGGCAAGAAAAACATATTTCATGAGTTGCTCTCATCACCCTCCTCCTTAATAAACTGCTGGCAAAAGTGCCATCTGGGCAGGGCGCAGTGGCTCACGTCTGTAATCCCAGCACTTTGGGAGGCTGAGGCGGGTGGATCACTTGAGGTCAGGAGTTCGAGACCAGCCTGGCCAACATGGTGAAATCCTGTCTCTACTAAAAATACAAAAAATTAGCCAGGCGTGGTGGCACACACCTGTAATCCCAGCTACTCAGGACGCTAAGGCAGGAGAATCACTTGAATCCAGGAGGTGCAGGTTGCAGTGAGCCGAGATTGCACCACTGCACTCCAGCCTGGGTGAAAGAGTGAGACTGTCTCCAAAAAAAAAAAAAAAAAAAAAAAAAAAGTGCCATCTGCACCTGAATTCATCCACCAGGGAAGGTCTGGATCAGAAGCACATCAACCAAGCCCTCTATGGCCACCTAGTCGTCAGTCCCCAGTCAGTGAACACTGGGGTGTAGCCAGCAGAATAATGCCCCTTGCCAAAGATGTCTTACCTCCTAATCCCCAAAACCAGTGACTGTCTTACATGGCAAAAGAGATTTTGCCGATGTGGTCCCTCTAGTTAAGAATCTTGAGATGGGAGACGTGCTGGTTATCTGGTATTATGTTCATTTTAAATGTTATTGTAATCAGGTTCTTCTGGCCTGTGTGCTCAGATCAAAGCCAGGTTTCCCAATGACCCGGTAGCCAATTTGCAATGCTTAAATATGGTTTATTGCCAGAGACTCACACATACCCAATCAATCGAGCAAACATTCACAATACAATTATTTTTTTCATTGTTTCTTTTCCTGTGAGTGATGGGAATGACATGATACAATTACTAAAGGCAGTAATGAGCGGAATGGCAAACCCAGGCTGTGGCTGAGGAGGCCAGCACAGCAGACACTCCTCTCACACAGAGCCTCTGGGCAGCCCGTCTCACCGGGAGGAGGCACTTTTTTTTTTCTATTATAAGTTTTAGGGTACATGTGCACAACATGCAGGTTAGTTACATATGTATACATGTGCCATGTTGGTGTGCTGCACCCAGTAACTCGTCATTTAACATTAAGTATATCTCCTAATGCTATCCCTCCCCCCTCCCCCCACCCCACAACAGTCCCCAGAGTGTGATGTCTCCTACAGGCAGGAATTCTCAAGGTGCCTCTGACAGTGTCAGTTCCTTGCTGGTTTTATGGTTTTCCCCAGGTGTGTCCGTCATCATCATCTCAGCCACCTTTTGGCTCCATTTTCTATCGGTTCCTTTTGGGTCTCAAGTGGTACATGCCACAGCAAATGTAATCTCATCTCTTATACATATGTTTATCGCCTTAAAGAAAAACAACTTTACTATGAGCTCAGGCTCAGTCTAGTACACATACGCTTACCACTTTAAGGAGTAAACAACTTCACTGTGGGCTTCATGCCACTTGAAAACCAAAAAGTATCTGAGGCAAGTCTGGATCAATTTAGAGGTTTATTTTGCCAAGGTTAAGGGCATGCCGATGACACGGCCTCAGGAGGTCCTGAGAACAGGTGCCCAAGGTCAGGACACAGCTTGGTTTTATACATTTTAGGGAGACATGAGACATCAATCAATACGTGTAAGATGTACTTTGGTTTGGAAAGGCAGGACAACTGGAAGCAGGGGCTTCCAGGTCATAGGCAAACCCAGAGGTTTTCTGAATCAATAGAAAGGAATGTCTGGATGATGATAAGGGGTTGTGGACACCAAGCTTTTATCATGCAGGTGAAGCCTCCAGGTAGCAGGTGTGAGACATAATAAACCGTAAATGTTTCTTATCAGACTTAAAGAGTCTGCTCTATCAGTAATTCCAAAACGGAAGACTGCATAATGAGGCATGTCCGGCTCCCCTTCCCATCATGGCCTGAACTAGTTTGCAAGTTAGCTTTGGGCCTTTACCGAGAGGACGGGTCCATATAGAGGACTGAGGGCTTAGAATTTTATTTTTGGTTTACACACATAACACAAGCCACTCCATTTTTAGACATTAGGATCACAAATCATTCTTATAGATCATCTGGGTGGGCTCAGTGTGATCACAGGTCCTCATGAGAGAGGGAGGAGGGCCACAGCCAGAGGAGACGTGAGGACAGAGGCAGAGGTCAGGGTGATGCGGAGCCACAAGCCATGGAACACAGGCGGCCTCTAGGAGCTGGAAAAGGCCAGGAAGCAGATTCTCCCCGGAGCCTTGGGAGGAATCAACCCAGCTGACCCGTTTTGGAGTTCTGACTTCAGAGCTGTACGGTGTAAAGCTCGGTTGTTTTCAGCCATTTGAGGTTTGAGGTAATTTGTGATGGCAGCAATAGGAAACGAATACACTGGCTTAGTCACAGAGTAGCCAATATGGGGCCTCAGCAACAGGACTGCTGCAGGGCTCACAGGCACCCTCAGAGACCAGCTGGCTGTACCCGCCCCTAGTGCAAACAGGCACCGCCCTAAGTTCTTTATGTGCCTCTCAGCTAACCCTCACTATCACACACCGAGGCCCTGCAGTAAGTACCCACCAAGATGAGGAGACTGAGTTTGTTCCCGATCTCCTAGGTGGTTGGTGTCAATGAAGTCAGGGTTGGAAACTGTGATTTGATTCCACAGCCTGCATCCTTGATCATTCCATAAAATCCCGATTGCTGCTAGCTCCTTCCCAATTTGGTGTCACTAATATAATTTGTAACCACTGTTCTGTGAATAAAGAATGTAATTCTCTGTAAATAAAAACTACATTTTTTTTTTTTTTTTTTGAGACAGCCTCACTCTGTCACCCAGGCTGGAGTGCAGTGGCGCAATCTCAGCTCACTGCAACCTCTGCCTCCCGGGCTCAAGTGATTCTCCTGCCTCAGCCTCCCAAGTAGCTGTGATTACAGGCATGCACCACCAGGCCCGGCTAATTTTTGTATCTTTAGTAGAGATGGGGTTTCAACATCTTGTTCGGGCTGGTTTTGGACTCCTGACCTCAGGTGATCCACCTGCCTCGGCCTCCCAAAGTGCTGGGATTACAGGTGTGAGCCACCGTGCCGGGCCAAAGCTACATTTCTAAAAAATAAAACTAAAAACTACATTTCTGTCACCATGTCATGTGAAACAGCTGGACAGATCTCACCAAATCTGAAGGGTCCATTTGAGATGTAAAATAAGGGCTATGTTGAAGAGACAGTTACTTTAAATCTGGGAGAGTCCACAGAGAGGTACCACTTCCCCCGGAGTTGCTGAAACTAGGCTAGGGAGCTGTCCAGGGCAGCCTTGGCATAGACATCAAATATGAAGCCCAAATCCCACGTGGAAACTTGAGTTGGAGGTGTTGATTTGGGGCCAGTCGACACATCACTTGGGGCAGGTCCAGGAGGTATGCTTCCATGTGAGAGTGGCTGGATCACCCATGTGCACCCTGGAAGGTAGAAGGAAAAGATGTGCCTGAGAGAAACTTTATTACTAAATCAAAAGTTACTACAGGTTACTATCAGTTATTATAATTTTAGCAAATTTTTATAAGTCCAACATTAATTATTTCTTTTTTTCCTAGACAAAGGCTTGCTCTGTCACCTAGACTGGACTGCAGTGGCACGATCTCGGCTCACTGCAACCTCTGCCTTCCAAGTTCAAGCAATTCTCCTGCCTCAGCCTCCCGAGTAGCTGGGACCACAGACCTGCACCACCACACCCAGCTAATTTTTGTATTTTTGGTAGAGGTGGGGTTTCGCCATGATGCCCAGGCTGGTCTCGAACTCCTGACCTCAAGTGATCCACCTGCCTTGACCTCCCAAAGTGCTAGGATTACAGGCGTGAGCCACCACACCTGGCCTAATTATATCTTTCTATTAAGCCTTACCTAATAATAGTAGAGTAGGATTCTCTTTGGCTGGGTCACTATTCAATAAAATATTAAAGTTCATCCATGTGCCTCTGTTTCCCAAAGTCTCTTTGCTGTTACTATTGAGGACATTTTAGGAAATGAAGAGACAAATCATCCACAATCCAATAACCCTGCAAGCTATTTTTCTATATTATGTTATCCTCTCTTTTATCATATGCATGTATATTTTGCTCACATTTTTTAAAGCCACATAAGAAATGTATGTTTCCATTTGGAAAATTAGAAAATATGCAAAGCAAGAATTACAGAAAACTCTATGCAGAGATAAGGATCATCATGCATGTGCTGACTTTTATAAACAGGGTATCATCCCCTGATCTTGCTTCTTCCACATCACCAGTGGACTGCAGTGCCTCACCCTGCAGTTGTGAGGCTATACTCCCTTAAGCCTTAGCAGGGGTCTTCTGAGTCTCTCAGGGGCACGATGGGAAGGAAAAGGAGCTGAGTGGATGAGGCGGGAGATGGGAGACAATTATTTCAAAGAGTGCACCTCCACTGTCAGATGTTTTGTTTTAGCTTTCTGCTAAAATATTTTTTAAAAGGGAGTGCCTCACACTTAAAAAAGGCGTGAAGGCCATTTTTACATACAGAACAACAAACAGGCCAATCAGTGCAAATTCTTTTACATTTCAATGAGTGAAAATGTCAGCCAAGAAAATGCCATCTAGTGATATTTGCACAACAGTACCCTACACATAATAGGTCATGATTCTAGAACAAAATGTGAAAGTTCATCCATTGTCCTCAAATAATCAAGCCTCTGGGGAGCCTTCCAGGGCAGCAGCTGCTAGAAGGTTGGTGTCTGTAGTGTCTCCAGCACAGCAGGGTCTGGTCTGTGTCCAGGCTGCTTCTGCCATGCTCAATCTCACCTTACTCTTGAAGGAAATAAAAGGCTAGGAAGCCAGAAGAAATACTCACACTGAGGGCACTGGCCCACCAGGGATGGCATTAGCAAAAGAGACTCAATGAGGATGAGAAAACAGAGATGACAGAGACCCAAATAACATTTGAATTGGACTCTACCTGCAAGTGGAGCTTTACCATCCAGGTGAGGCAGTCATAAACCTAGGCTGGAGTGTGTGTGTGTGTATAATCATCCTGTCGGAACAGGCAAAGGAATGAACTGGAGTACCCATCAATGTTGACTCTCCATTAAACTGCTCTTAATTCCTTACAATCACGTACTTCTGGCCTCTCCTGTCTTCCCTCTTCCTCCCTCTCACTTCCTCACCTCTTTCCTTTCCAGCCTGTAGGTACTGGTCATTATCTACCCCATAGCAATGACACACACACATGCACACACTCACACACAAGTGTGCCTTGGGGGTGTGTCCCAGCTCACACTGATGGTTAGGCTGACGCTGGAAGGAGACAACAGGGCGACTCTCTTCTCCGCCCCCTCAGGTTCTTCTTGGTACTCCACTCCCATTTGCACATTAAAGATTGTAAGAGAGTTGGAACTTTGGACATGGATGGACCTCTCCCAGTAAATCTAGAAGGCATTCATTCCAACAGCATACAAAACAATACTGGTGGGTGCCCACGCCACAACACTATGGCACCATAAATATACTGCTATAGGAAAAGTTTGATTTCCAGCCATTGAACTTGACATTGAAATTCCAGCCTGGGTGCAGTAGGGTGAGCCTGTAGTCCCAGCTACTCTGGAGACTGAGGCAGGAAGAGCACTTGAGTCCAGGAGTTCAAATCCAGTCTGAGCAGTATAATGAGACCCCCTTCTCTAAAAAACAAATAAATACATACATTGGCATCAAACTAGTTTCCTTTTTACACATAAAAAAGCAAGGTGGCTGCACTCCTCTCTCCCCACACACGCTCCTGCTGATGAGTTTATTCCAAGAGCACCGATGCAGACCTTCCCTTCCATTTTTGTGGGGAAAGAAAATGATCTGGAACTCACGCCAGAGGGGAGGGCACATACAGGAATTTGCTGTTGCGGGTCAGCCACATGTTCACCCATAGCAGGAAGAGCCAGCTTTGGGGGAGCCAGGGTCTGCTGTTTCCTGTCAGAGGGGCAGTGGCGAGACCCTCGGGAAGCCCCAAACTTCCCAGGAACCCTCTTGGCAGGGCAGCCGGTTTCAGGCATCTGAACTCTATCTGCCGTCTGGAGAGTCATGAGTGCTTTTAAACAAATGTAGGATGCAATTACTTTGGAGTTTTAGGGAAACCATATGGATGGCCGTCTGATGTGGAAAAGCTAGGGCGCCTGTCGGCAGTCCACGGCCATAGAACTGCAGCTGCCAGGATGCAGCTGGAGAATTAGGACATGAGCTGCTGCCATGACTAGCACAGGTCAGGGGGCGGGCAGAGGTGAGAACTGCTCTGAGAGGCTCCAGCAACATTTATACCCAAGGAAGCCCAGTGGGAGTGGGGGTGTTCCACTGGAGGCACGTGGGACATCCCAACCGCCCCTGTAAGCAAAGACAGCCCAGGATATTCAAATATAAATATAGGTAGTGTCACAGGAGTTGAAACCAGAGCAACTCCATCTTGAACAGGGGATGGGTAAAATGAGGCTGGGACCTACAGGGCTGCATTCCCAGGAATTTAGGCCTTCTCAGAAGGCCAGCACAAGATACATGCCACCAAGACCCGCTGATAAAACAGGATGCAGGGCCCAGGGCAGTGGGTCACACCTGTAATCCCCAAACTTTGGGAGACCAAGGCAGGTAGATCGCTTGAGCCCAGGAGTTTGAGACCAGCCTGAACAACATAGCAAAAGCCCGTCACAACAACAACAAAAATTTAAAAATTAGCCAGGCATGGTGGCACACGCCTGTAGTCCCAGCTACTCAAGAGGCCAAGGTGGGAGGATCACTTGAGCCCAGAAGGTCGAAGCTGCAGTGAGCCACGATTGTGCCACTGCACTCTAGCCTGGTGCTAGAGCGCACTCTAGTCTCAAAAAAATAAATAAAAACAGGATGCAATAAAGAAGCCGGCCAAAACCCACCGAATCCAAGACGGTGACAACATGACTTCTGGTCCTCTTCACTGCTCATCATACGCTAATTATAATGCCTTAGTATGCTAAAAGACACTCCCGCCAGTGCCATGGCATGCCAGTGCCACAGCAGGAAGTTACCCATGTCTGGAAGTTACCCTATGTGGTCTAAAAGGAAGAGGAACCCTCAGTTCTAGGAAATCCCTGCCCCCTTCCCAGGAAACTTATGAATAATCCACCCCTTGTTTAGTGTATGATCAAGAAATAACCATAAAAATAGCCAACCAGCAACCGCTGGGGCTGCTCTGCCTGTGGAGTAGCCATTCTTTATGCCTTTACTGTCTTAATAAACTTGCTTTCACTTTACTCTATGGACTCACCCTGAGTTCTTTCTTGTGCAAGACCCAAGAACCTTCTCTTAGAGTTTGTCTCAGGACCCCTTTCCAAGAACAGTAGGGCGTTGGCATGAGTGGCACTTCTAGAGACAGACCTTGGATGCCATCTGCATCCCTGTGCCAGGAAGTTCTATGGAAGTGGAGGAAATTAGTTGGAGGTTATAGTGGAGACCCATGAGAAGAAATCCACCCAATTCAGGGGAATGTCCAACATTTGAAGTTGACTGGGTACCTGAGAGAGTGTGGGAGCCCGAGAGGGAAGGTTGAGGGAGGGCAGGAAAGCCCCTGGCAAAGTGAGATGTGGAGGGAGGGGCCCACTGGCCGCCACAAGGGCAGCAGGGAAGAGGCGTGTTTCCAGCTGAGGGGAGCTGCCAGTGAAGAAGGAAGATGGGAGGTGTTTTGCTTTTTTAAAAAAGCAGTAGCAACATGTCAACGAAAAGAGTCAACTTCTGTAAAATATTTGAAGAGATTTATTCTGAGCCAAATATGAGTGACCATGGCCCGTGGCACAGCCCTCAGGAGATCCTGAGAACACGTGCCCAAGGTGGTTGGGACACAGCTTGGTTTTATACATTTTAGGAAGACATGAGACATCAATCAATACATGTAAAATGTACATTGGTTTGGTCCGGAAAGGAGGGACAAGTCAAAGTGGGGGCTTCCAGGTCATAAGCAGAGCCAAAGATTTTCCAAATCAATAGAAAGGAATGTCTGGGTTAAGATAAGGGGTTGTGGAGACCAAGGTTTCAGCATGCAGGTGAAGCCTCCAGGTAGCAGGCTTCAGGGAAAATAGATTGTAAATGTTTTTTTAATCAGATTTAAAGTAAAGTAAGTGTTTCCTTTTTTTTTTTTTTTTTTGAGACAGAGTTTCACTCCGTTGCCCAGGCTGGAGTGCAGTGGTACGATCTTGTCACTGCAACCTGCGCCTCCCGAGTTCAAGCGATTCTCCTGCCTCAGCCTTCCAATTAGCTGGGATTACAGGCACCATGCCCCCAGCTAATTTTTGGATTTTTTTTTTTTTTTAGTAGAGATGGGGTTTCACCATGTTGGCCAGGCTGGGTCTTGAGCTCCTGACCTCGAATGATCCACCCACCTTGGCCTTCCAAAGTGCTGGGATTACAGGTGCGAGCCACCGCGCCCGGCCAAGTAAATGTTTCTTATCAGATTTAAAGCATCTGTTCTATCAGTAATTCCAAAAGAAAGGAGGGTATAATGAGGCACGTCCCGCTCCCCCAAACCATCCTGGCGCAAACTAGTCTTTCAGGTAAACTTTGGAATGTCCTTGGCAAGAGGGGACGTCCATTCAGATGGTTGGGAAGCTTAGAATTTTACTTTTGGTTTACAAACGTGAGACGGTTGCTGTAGATGCGGGCGGCGAGCATGTCAGGACTTCCCCTCCTCCTATCCGGTGACTCCTTGGACCACATCAACCCAGAGCAACAAGACCCATTGCCCCTGCTACCTGGGGCCCGCATGGCATGTCTGAGCAATGACCCCATCCTCGCTGCCCGCTGCCCAGCTGGCGGACCCTGCCAGGTTCTTACTGCGATGGCCACTCCCCAACCACCACACCCGCAGCACCTCCACGCTAGTGGCTCCTCCCCACCCAAGGCTCCTCCCTGCCCACAGCTCCTCTCAACCTGTAGCTCCTCCCCTCCAGCAGTTCCTCCCTGTGACCCCCGCGCCTGCAGCTCTCCCTCCACTCCCCTGTGCCTGCCTCAGGCCTCAGTCCGCTTCCTTTCCCTAAGCTCACTTGGAGTCCTGGCTCACCCATGGTGCCCACACTTCCAAGACTCCAGCACTTGGGAGGTTCCTGCCACCAGCATCACCATCACTACTGCTACTGAAACACCAGGGGTTGAGTCTAGGTCCTGCTGTTTGCTGCACAGAAAGCCCGTGACTGAGACAAGCATTGCCAAGAAAGAAAGCTTTAATTGGGTGCTGCAGCCAAGGAGATGGGAGATCCACCTCAAAACCATCTCCTGGACTGACTAAAATTATAGAGCAGGGAAAAATGGACTATGTATGGAAAACAGGAACTCGGGAGGGATAAAGAAGCAATCATGATGAACCAGAGGTTTGGCGTCGCATTGTCTGCATACAGCAATCTGGTCAGTTTCAGTCCTTTGATACCTTCTGAGAGGCCTAGGGGTCCTTTCTTAAGGAAGGAATTCAGATAAAACAAATATAAGTTTCAAGATTTGTGATCAGAGAGTCAATTTCCATGTTTATACAAAAAAAAAAAAAAACTGTCTGTAGGACTCTTGGGTCGGTTTCAGTCCCACTTTTCTATTGATCAATTCCTCAATCCTGGGGAATCTGGCTGTCAGTCTTTCCGGCTGCTTCATGCTGAGAAGGGGCATTGTGGGCAGCTCCATACCAGGGGTGACCACGTGGCCACCCAGAAGTCAAAGGTTAACTTAATATAGAGTTTTCTTCTGAAACACAATCTTTCTCTCTCCAGGCCTCACTTCCACCAAAGACAAGTAACAGCAGGACCAACCTACATGCAAAAGAAACTTTAGTCCCCTACAGGTAGCCTGATGACCCACACAAAGCGCAGCAAGAATCCTTGTCCACATAGGCTCTCCTAGATTGGACTGGCTGGAACCTCTCACAGTGCCATTTCAGTCAAAGCCCTGGGAAAACAGCCAGTTCCTCCACTGTGTCCCAGTATACAAGAAAACAGATTCCTATTGAAGTTATGCAAACAAACACATTGCCATGAATTAAGAATATTCATAAATGAATTACAAATTCTGGAGAAAGTAGGCAGAGAACAAAATATGCCTTAATTTCAGTTTACAAAAGTATAATCTACTCAATTGTTAAAGGCTATAAATAGCTCAAAAGGAAAAACGTTCTCCAGACTCTGAAGAATCAGCAATGTTTCAAACAAACAAAAAAGGCCATGAAAAATTATTTCAGTCCTCCGTCAGTTCAATCCATGCAATCAACTCCTGCTCTACTTCATATTGGGTTAGTAATCTTTATGCACATCAGCCTTTCAACTAGTACCCTGGAAATATCCTCTCTAATCCAATGGCACAATCTTCAAAGTTAACAGAAACCTGACTTCAAGAGTTCTTTTCATGAACTTCTCCAAAGAAGAAAACCCTGGACTATAGCTGATTAGAAGTCACTTTTTGAGAAGGATCAAAGCAAAACAATAATTGTGAATGACAAAAGTCTTAGGACAGCTGTAAAGATACAGTTGTCAATGACAGTGGGTTACATCTATGGCATACAACAATTTAACATAATAATCATAATTACTACTGACAATATATACTAAGACATATCTGAATTTGAGGAATCTTATACAATCCTGGAACAAATATTAACGACATATCTATATAAATATAACCCAAAGGAAGCTAAACACCACCTCAGATTTGACAGTGCTTTCTGAATAATTCTAACATAACAAATAAGCCTAAATTGTCTCTCTTGGGCTTCAGAGAATTTAATATTCAAAAAAGTTAGTTTGAGGTCAAAAAGACTGAATTTAGAACTTGAAATTTTGCTCTTAGAAAGTTTGCCAAATATCAGTGTTAAGATACTTGATTATCACAAAATAGAACCACAGGTCACTATAAAATAGTCATTTATTTAGCCAAAATGATAAAACAAAAACATTTACCTTTTGATAGAGAGGAGATTCAGCTTCCCAAACAATAAAACCTAATAAACACAGCATGAGGCCAACGAAATCTGTCTCTCCCCCTCCATTTTTTCGCTTTAGTTTACAAAAAAGGTATACAAAAATCTTTTATCTCTTACTAATATTACACAAATATTTTGTTCAAAAGAGAAAATCAGAATTTTACCTTTGTATGGTGTATTATTAATGTTAAAGCTAATTTTGATAAAACCTTACAAACAAATCTAATTTTAATCATAAGGTAAGATTACCATATACTTTTTATAACCGTTTATGATTTTCTGTTAAAGAACAGATCAATGCTTCAAGAAACCCTGTTATTCAGACATATGGGCCTAGACGCTAGCCTTGCACCAGTGCACTTTTGATATTAATGTTTAATTTACAGAACTAATGTTATCCCTCAAAATTGGCCCTTACAATCCCATAGGCCCACCTCTTCTGCAATAGTCCCTGGGCCTAGAGGGTTGAATAGTTTTAATTTCTGGCCCTGTGTCTCACAAAAGCAGTTCATTTTGATTGTCACCTTCTCCCAGATCTGAGGGTCTGAAGATGAGCCTTTGACAGGTATCAGTGCTCAAAATTTAGCAGGGGTTGGTGTCTTTTTCAGACCCAGGAGTCAAAGACCTGTAACTTAACAGCAGGAGGATTAGTTAAAGGGATATTATTTAGACTATGGAAAGTTCTATCATTCTAACATGTCACAAGTTAAAATATTGTGATTTGGCATTCAGTAGTTGCTGCCTGCACACTCCAAACCACTGTATTAAAGTATTTAGGTTACTCGTTGCGAGTATCTAGTTGCTAGCGTTCTGGTGACAGAACTGTGACCCAAAGCATCCAAAAGTGATGGGGCCTGTACCAAACATATCAAAACAAAACAACTAGCTTTTCTCTCCATCATTAAAAAATGGTAAATGCAAATATCGGTTTTAGAAATTCAATGAGGATAAATAAGCTCCTTTCACTTAAATAGTATACAACAGAGCAAAGACGAGGTAAGAACAAGCACACAGTAATTTCTTTTCAGCTATGTTTAAAGAACATCATCCCATATTTCCAAGATTAGTTCCTAGATACAGTACTGAGAACGAATTAAGTAACTTTCACCACTAAAATCTTCAAACCAGCGCAACACTTGTACATATTTTTTTCATGTACACATATGAAAGCCCATCAGTGATAAACGGCTTGAGATCAAAAATCACTAGAAAGTCTCACATTCTTTATTACTACTTAATCCAAGTGAATGTCAACACAACAAAATAATGGCCAACACAACTACATTTTAATAATGGTCAACACAACTAAATTAGCTTCAGAATAATCCTAAGCAATACAATTTCATTAAGGATACAGCCAATCTTTCCTGAACATTAAAATGTTGTACTCATATCACCGTGTTTCCTCACTACCTAAAGGAAAGATCTGAAACCAACTGAAATTATTGACTGAATTGAATTACCTTGGAAATAAACACCATTTAAACATTTTCATTCTCACCCACTTCTTCAAGTAACAAAATAAATAATGTGCTATTTCTGCTCAGAACTTCCAAAAATTAGTCTTTTATTTTTTTCCTAGGTGCCTTAAAGGTCTTGTAGCTCTCCCCATCATCAAGCAAAACCAACCAAAATTTAAATGGCTGATGTCCTTTATCAATTTTTGGATGCCTGACAAAGGGGCTTAAGAATTTTAGATAAATAAAACAAATGATGAATTGCTGGAAATGCATAGGAAACAAAATGACTATTTATAGAACAAAATAAAAGACTTCCACGGGAAACTTAAAAACATCAATGGTTTTATATATGCATATATATGTAAAACCCAAAGGAGAACAAACAGCAAATAAATGAAAATTAGAAGCAGAAGGAAATAAACAGGAAACCAACCCCAATTGTTCTCCTACTCAGTTTACCTTAGAGGCTAAAGTGTTAACCAGCATCTTAAAGAAACACATAATAGATATTTTGTTCCTGATATACAATTCAATGTATTTAAGTCTATCAATAACATGATATATTTTGTGCAATTAAGACATTCACTTTGGGTATATGACCAGTAATTACTTTGGTGCTAGTACTATCTATGCAGAATTGCAAATATAGTGTGAAGCAGTGCAAATGTGTGTGTGAAATTTCGCTCCATGGTAATCTGGCTTCATACTTAACTACATTTAAAAAGAATTGCCAAACTGGCAATGTATTTCTTTATAATATTTCTTATTCTACCTTTATCAAGACTAAGAGCTTTAACTATGAACAATGTCAATTAGCCAAATGTCTTCAATTTTCTATCAGGTTTTAAAGAATATTTTATTATCTAAACTTTCTCAACTTGCTATTTTTTTTTTTTGGTATGTGCATGAAGACAGACACAGAGAAACAGAAAAAATTACATATGATTTACACAGACCATCTATCACATGCTTGGATTTTCTGTTTTGTCCTAAATTTTCTCTCTGTTTTTTAATAATTAGTCATTTTACTTTAGGAAAAAAAATCACCATACAATATCCTTTCTCACACAAAATTATTTTTCTTTATAACCTTCCTTAACAAAAATACATCTTCACATACATAACTTTCTTCCCATCTCTCTTCCCTACTTACTGGTTCCTTACTACGCTTTTCATAAATAACCTTTTCAAGTCCATAATTTGAATTAACCTTTAGATAAGTTCTAAATCTGACAAAATTATTCTTTATCTCACAAGAACACATCTTCTTTGGCACATTTTATATACAGAATTATATATTAACTATAATTCCTATCCTCAGTAACCTTAAATTTTAGTGAAAACCTAGGAAGCAAGAAGTCCTGAGCTGCCTATCAGACATTAGCATTTTATAGATGAGAACCATTTGACAATTTGAAGGGGGCCACCAGCACCCGCCTCTGAGTTCCCTCAGTATTTACTGATCATTATTTTTACTATCTTAGCCAGCGGAGTGTAGCAGGGCAACACGTGGGGAGAAGGTCAGCAGGGAAACATGTGAGCAAAGGAATCTGTATCATGAATAAGTTCAAGGAAAGGTACTGTGCCTGGATGTGCACGTAGGCCAGATTTATCTTTCACTTTACATAAACATCTCAGTGTAGCAAAGAGTAACAGAGCAGCATTGTTGCCAGCTTATCTTGCCTCTAGCCACAGGGTGGTTTTCTCCTATCTCAGAATCGAACGAATGGGAATGGTCGGCTTTACACTGAGACATTCCAATCCCAGGGAGGAGCAGGAGACAGAAGCCTTCCTCTTATCTCAACTGCAAAGAGGCCTCCCTCTTTCACTACTCCTCCTCAGCACAGACCCTTTACCGGTGTGGGCCTGGGGCATGGTAAGGTCTTTCCTTTCCAACAAGGCCATATCTCAGGCTGTCTCAGTGGGGGGAAAGCCAGGCTTTCTTGGGCAGTGGTCCCTGCAGCTTTCTGCAGTGCGTTGTGTCCCCGGTTAATCGAGAATGGAGAATGGCGATGACTTTTACCAAGCATACTGCCTGCAAACATATTGCTCACAAGGCACATCCCACAGAACCCTAAATCCATTAAATTTTGATTCAATATAGCACATGTTTCTGTGAGCACAGGGTTGGGGCTAAAGTTACAGGTTAACAGCATCTCAAAGCAGAAACAATTTTTCTTAGTACCGATCAAGATGGAGTTTCTTATGCCTTCCTTTTCTACATAGACACAGTAACAATCTGATCTCTCTTTCTTTTCCCCACAACAATTTTAGAAACATGTTTCCCCATATCATAACCTCTTCTTAATTGGAAATGTCCCAGACATCCAATGAACATCAAAAATAATTTTAGGATTTTAAATTACAAAAAAAGATCACTTACATTTATCCTATATACATGTACTCAGTTATTTCATTTTAAACAGTTTACCTAGATTACTTCTGAAAACTGAGATATTAGACACAGCTAGTCATCATTTAAAGTTAGTAATTTCCTTGCAAATAATTGTTTTAATAGCCAGTGAACATCAGGTGCTCACACAAGTAAGAACCTTAAAGTTAAATATTTGGATATTTTTGCCAATAACTCAGAAGATTTAGCTAACAACATTAAATTAGTCTTATTTATCAAAAAAGGCACACAAACCAAGATCATTTCATTTTGGCTGGGTTTATGGTTTTATAACCCTCTATATCAAACTGTTACACCTCAAAACATCTAGCAGAGACAAACATAAAACCCAGGCAGAAATGTATGCTGACAATTCTGAAGACATTTTAAAGCCAGCTTGTTTAGTAAAGATTTTTTTTAAGTCACATCAACTTGAAAAAATACTTTGGATTTACTTATGAGAGCTCTTTCATTTATAAGCCAATTTGGTAGATACAACATATAACATAATAAATGTACATACATAAACACATCTAGACATATATATATATACACACATATAAACAAAAATCCAATAGCTTTTACCTCAGAACTCTAGTCATGAGATAGCAAAATAAACTCACTGGTTTCCATGGCTAAACTTTTTTTCCTGGATAGGTGTTGTGGGAAGTCAGGGACCCCAAACGGAGGGACCAGCTGAAGCCATGACAGAAGAATGTGGATTGTGAAGATTTTATGGACATTTATTAGTTCCCCAAATTAATACTTTTATAATTTCTTATGCCTGTCTTTATTGCAATCTCTAAACATAAATTGTAAAGATTTCATGGACACTTATCACTTCCCCAATCAATACCCTTGTGATTTCCTATGCCTGTCTTTAATTTAATCTCTTAATCCTGTCAGTTGAGGAGGATGTATATTGTCTCAGGATCCTGTAATAATTGCGTTAACTACACAAATTGTACAGCATGTGTGTTTGAGCAATATGAAATGTGGGCATCCTGAAAAAAGAACAGGATAACAGCAATTGTTCAGGGAATAAGAGAGATAACCTTAAACTCTGACCACTGGTGAGCCGGGCAGAACAGAGCCATATTTCTCTTCTTTCAAAAGCAAATGGGAGAAATATCACTGAATTCTTTTTCTCAGCATGGAACGTCCCTGAGAAAGAGAATGCGCACCTAGAGGTAGGTCTCTGAGCTGGCCCCCCGCCGGGGCGTACCTGTCTCTTATGGTTGAGACTGCAGGGGTGAAATAAACTGCAGTCTCCCATAGCGTTCCCAGGCTTATTAGGAAGAGGAAATTCCCGCCTAATAAATTTTGGTCAGACCGGTTGATCTCAAAACCCTGTCTCCTGATAAGATGTTACCCATGACAATGGTGCCCGAAACTTCATTAGCAATTTTAATTTCGCCTCGGAGCTGTGGTCCTGTGATCTCGCCCTGTCTCCACTTGCCTTGTGATATTCTATTACCGTGTTAAGTACTTGATGTCTGTCACCCACACCTATTCGCACACTCCCTCCCCTTTTGAAAATCCCTAATAAAAACTTGCTGGTTTTTGTGGCTTGTGGGGCATCACGGATCCTACCAACGTGTGATGTCTCCCCCGGACGCCCAGCTTTAAAATTTCTCTCTTTTGTACTCTGTCCTTTTATTTCTCAAGCTGGTCGACGCTTAGGAAAATAGAAAAGAACCTGTGTGATTTTCGGGGCAGGTCCCCCGAAAGATAGGTAATCCAATGAAGGCTTTGAACCAAAATTTTGAGTAAAGCAATTTTCATGGCAGTTTGATTTTTAAATGCCAAAACCTCCTCAGACTTCAAAGAACAGTGGGGGCAAACAGCCCCACAGAAGAACATCACCTGAAACCTGCTAACCAGGCCTAACCCTGCTTAGAACAGCAACGTAAATGCCTGGATACAGGGACCTCCATCCCACTTTCTCAATCAACAGCAAATTCCAGATTCCAAAGAATATTGGGGCTAAACAGTATTACAAAAGAATATCAGTTTATCAGATTCAGGTTTCCCATGACTGTATCGACACACACCAAACAATCCCCAAAACACAATCCAACTGATGCAGCAACAAACAAGCCCCAAGTGTCCAAACTGAAGCAGCTGGACCAGCTGGTGCTTCCTGTCTCCATTGGTTGGGCTTGATCAATATGCAAACAAAAATTCCTTTGGAATTTCTCACTTGAGAGGAGCCAATCCCGCTGTCTGGTGCCCACAAAAGACATTCACTTGGCTGGGCGCGGTGGCTCACGCCTGTAATCCCAGCACTTTGGGAGGCCGAGGCAAGTGGATCACTTGAGGTCAGGAGTTCAAGACCAGCCTGGCCAACAAGACAAAACCCTGTCTCTACTGAAAATACACCACCAGAGCTGGTGCGCACCTGTAGTCCCAGCTGCTTGGGAGGCTGAGGCAGGAGAATTGCTTGAACCTGGGAGGCGGAGGTTGCAGTGATCCGAGATCGCACCACTGTACTCCAGCCTGGGCGACAGAGCAAGACTCCATTAAAAAAAAATAAATTAATTAAAAAAAGACAGTCAATTTCCCGGACACATACACAACACACAATTACACACAAACCCACAAGAGTGTGTGGCCCAGGCTGGACTGCAGTGGTGCGATCATAGTGTTACTAGAAAAAGAGGTCCTGATCCAGACCCCAGGAGAGGGTTCTTGGATCTCATGCAGGAAGAAATTCAAGGCAAGTCTCAGGGTGCAGTGAGAAGACATTGTTTATTGAAAGCTACTCAGATACAGAGTACAGTGTCCTCAGAAAGCAAGAGGAGGAACTCATCTTTAAGTTTTTCTTATGTAGCAGGTCTTGTTTATGTAAAAGCTAAGCTAAGCCACATCTATGTGTGGGTAGGCTGAAGGCATGACAAAATTTATTATTCTGTTGATTTAAAGAAAACTATCCTTGTGTTTTGTTTTTTTGTTTGTTTTTAGTTTTAGTGTGTATGTACGTAAAAGCATAAATACAAGTATCTTGAAAGCAGCCAGGCATGGTGGCTCATGCCTGTAATCCCAGCACTTTGGGAGACCAAGGCAGGCAGATCACAAGGTCAGGAGTTCAAAACCAGCCTGGCCAAGATGGTGAAACCCCGTCTCTACTAAAAAATACAAAAATTAGCCGGGCGTGGTGATGCGCGCCTGTAGTCTCAGCTACTAGGGAGGCTGAGGCAGGAGAATCGCTGAAACCCAGGAGGCAGAGGTTGTAGTGAGCTGAGATCACACCACTTGCACCCCAGCCTGGGCGACAGAGCAAGACTGAGTCTCAAACAATAATTATCTTGAAAGCATATATTGCTATGGGCATTGGGACATCTTGACTTTCTGTTGCTGTAGGACTGTGTCCCTGCAGGTGTCTTTAAGCTGTTTCCTTAAGTGTAAATATCTTATGACCATGGGTGGTGACTGGAAAAGAATGTGCCTCATTAGTCTCAAGATGAAGCTGAACTTAAAATGGCGTTATTCTGGCTCTCCTGGGCTCCCGCTTCCCTAACAATAGCTCGCTTCGGGCTCAAACTCCTGGACTCAAGCAATCCTCCCACCTCAGCCTCCCAAAGCACTGGGATTATATGGGTTGATTTAAATAAAATAAAAACATTGATAAAAGCTTACTAAGCCTTGATGTTTGATTGTCAATCTATGTCTAATTATAATATTTAAGATTTTATATATTTATATTTTTAATTATTTGAAACCAACCAAACCTCTTCTTTTTGGAAGAGTTTTTTGTTTGTTTTTGTTTTTGTTTTGAGATGGAGTCTCGCTCTGTTGCCCAGGCTGGAGTGCAATGGCACGATCTCAGCTCACTGCAACGTCCGCCTCCCAGGTTCAAGCAATTCTCCTGCCTCAGCCTCTCAAGTAGCTGGGATTACAGGCACATGCTGCCACGCTGGGCTAATTTTTTGTATTTTAGTAGAGACGGGGTTTCTCTGTGTTGCCCAGGCTGGTCTCGAACTCCTCAGCTCAGGCAATCTGCCCCCCTCAGACTCCCAAAGTGCTGGGATTACAGGCCTGAGCCACCATGCCCAGCCCTTGGAAGAGTTTTTTAAAGGTTATAAAATTACATTTCCAAGTGTTAAAAATAAGTATATGAGTTTTAACATCATTTTGTAGCAATAACATCATTTAACAAGGGAAAGAAAAACTTTCAAATAGATGTTTTAAAATGATCATTCCACCCTCTTTCAATAAGATGCATCTTTACCTACAAAGGCAATCCATTACAGTTTTTCAAAAATATTTGCTAGGTATTCCACTAATCGCCACTTTTCACAGAACAGGTCATTACATTTGGAATTCTTGCTATTCCAAAAGAAAAAAAAATGTAAATATCAAATTAACCAACCCTCTTTTCAAAGATCATTAGCAAATGAAAGCAGGCCACTGAAGAGAAATGTTGGAGAATGCTTGCTGACCCAGGAATGTGTGGAACCCGGTGGACCTCAATTCGAAAAGCGTCATATTAATTAGTTTGTCGGATTTTTCTGTTTGAAGGAGCTTGTGAGAGAAACATGTGTTTCGGACATGATCCCACCTGGAAGCTGCCATTAGCGTCTCCTTAGTGCCTTGTCGAATGAGAAACCCTATTAATTCCAGGGGTATTACCTGGAAGTATTAAATGACAAGGAGTTGGGTGGCAGTTAGGGAGGCCTGTTTGTCTTCTAAATGTATCCATTCCTTGTTGGGGTGCTCTGACTGCATGCAATGCAGACAGGAAAATTAAATAGGAAATATTAATCCTCATCTCCTCTTGGAATATGGCATGTCAGCAGGATGACCATACAGCATGGCTTGTCTGGGACAGTCCCAGTTATACCTGTTGCCTTGGTGTCCTGCCTGGGTCAGCATTTGTCACAGGCTTTTCATTTTCAATGAAGTGTTGTTAGTAACAGCTACAGGAGGGGGGTTGGCAGGTCTTTACTTTGTACTGTGAGCTCCCACTACACTTACACCTGTCAGGGTCCACTCAGGAGACAAAGCCACATCAGCTATGTGAACAGAGGAGAATATAAAGGATTGTTAGGAAAAGGGGCACAGACGCAGCATGTGAAAAAGGGGCAGCTGTTACCCACAGGCCCAGTGAGAATGGATGAGGAAAGACTAAAGTGTTAGGAGACCTTTACCGCACCCCCACCCCACACACACTTCGGGCTGAAACTCAGATCTTTTTGAAGAGGATGCAGCTGTCACAGAAACATGCAGCTGCTGCTGGCAGAGTGCATGGGTCAGAGTGGGCCACCAGGAGCTGTCTGCCATTGCCAGAGGGTGTGGCAGGCCAGAGCCGTCCGCAGAAGCAAAAGGCCAGGTAGGGACACAGCTGCCTGAGGTTGCAGCTGTTGCGACTGCAGAAATGGCTGTTGCATGGAGAAAACATGAGAATGAGGCTAGAGATGGTCTGTGTGGGCTGCTGGACCCTGCACTGAGTGGTTACAGGAGAACCAGAACTGGGAACGACAGGTGTCTTTCTACCGGGCTTTCCTGGCAGTGTCTCACTGGCACCCTCTAGTGACGAAGCGTAGCATTGTGCCATCTAGGGAAGTGACAGCAACTCCAGGGTTACATGAGAGGAGGCTCTAGAGCCAAGAGACAATCAATTGCTAAGTGACTCAGCAGGTGCAGGATGCTCACTTTAATCTTGGTTAAATCTGACAGGCAACTTGTGAGTCTGATCCTTTCCAGAAGTCTCCCCCTTCAAGGACAGGACATAAGGAACTCACTCACTGATAAAACAACTTAATCCTTGTTCACAAGCAGCTAGGGACAGCTACGTCCTTCTGGACTCTAGTACTGTGGAGATAATTATTTGGGACTGCTTTCCCCTGACAGCCACTGGGTTGTAATGTGGCTCGTGCTGTGGCTTTTGAGAAGCCATCATTTGGCAGTCAGTTGGAAACGTGGAAAAGTATAGTTTAGGTACACAGTTTAAACTATAATTTAGGCATATTTAAATAGAGGCTATATAAAAATAGAGGCATATTTAAATAGAGGAAATAGAGGCTATAAATTATTATAGATATAAGCCCAAACTCTCTTGCTACAGTGGTTTTGTTATTCATTATATAGGAAAATCTACAGCCATTTATTTTATTGTTTGACTATACTTTTTTACTTAATTTTATTATTTTGAGACAGAGTCTCACTGTGTCACTCAGGCTGGAATGCAGTCGCACCATCTCGGCTCACCACAACCTCCGCCTCTCAGGTTCAAGCGATTCTCCTGCCTCAGCTTCCTGAGCACTGGGATTACAGGCGCCCGCCAGCGTAACTGGCTAATTTTTTGTATTTTTAGTAGAGACACAGTTTCGCCATGTTGGCCAGGCTGGTCTCGAGCTCCTGACCTCAGGTGATCCACCTACCTCGGCCTCCCAAAGTGCTGGAATTACAGGCAAGAGCCACCGCACCCAGCCTGTTTGGCTATACTTTAATTTTGCAATAAATCCTTTTAGCAAACAGTGAGCTCAAAAATTAAGTACTGAATTTTCATATCACAAGAGGTGGAATGTTTAGTGTGCACAAAATGTTGCTGCTTACCACTCACCAGTGGCACCATAGTGCTATCTCTGACCATGTAAAAACTATAAGATGCTAATCTATAAGGAAATACTAGCACCTCCTTCAAAAGTTAGAACTTATTTTAAGAAAATTCTGGCCGGGCACGGTGGCTCACCCCTGTAATCCCAGCACCTTGGGAGGCCGAGGCAGGTGGATCACAAGGTCAGGGTTTGAGACCAGCGTGGCCAATATGGTGAAACTCTGTCTCTACTAAAAATACAAAAATTAGCCAGGTGTGGTGGCAGGTGCCTATAGTCTCAGCTACTCTGGAGGCTGAGGCAGGAGAATCGCCTGAACCTGGGAGGCGGAGGTTGCAGTGAGCCAAGATAAACGTCACTGAACTCCAGCCTGGGCGACAGAGTGAGACTCAGTCTCCAAAAAAAAAAAAAAAAAAAGAAAGAAAGAAAGAAAGAAAATTCTGTCCAAAGATAATAATCTATCAAGTGCATTGCAGAGGATATATTTATATATTAGTTTGTAAAGCAGGCTGTTCATTTGATCAAATGACTGCTATTTGAAGTTAATTTCTGTCATTTTCAAAAAGTAAAGCAATACATGGAAGCATTGGCTGCATTAGCAGAAGAAAAACTTTCATTTTGTTCAAGTAAGTTTCATCAGATGTTTCAAATTAAAAAGCAGTGTAAGGTTTTCATCTAATTCATGGATAGAATTAAAAATAAGCTTTTAGAAGTTCCCTTTCCCACAGGGAAAATATATAATATGTTGTGAATAAATGCTGTTAAAAATGTAGTTAAGCCTGGGCAACAGAGTGAGACTCCATCTCAAAAAAAAATTAGTTAAAATGTGCATCAGGGAAGGTTTTCATACAAATCAAATTTGATGAGTCACAACCTTGGAGTTGGTTAAGATGAACACACATTTTGAATTTTATTAATCAAGCCGCAATATTCTTCTGTTCAAAATAGCATCTTGTAGTTATCAAAATGTATGAATTTTCTTTATATAGTTCCTACAGAATATTTGTGATGAAGCTGCTGATGAATACAAATATGATATGATATTGATGATGTATTGATGGCAGTGCCTGCTTTTCATCTTTGCTGCCCATGAGCAATTGAAATGTAGTTGTGTGTGCTCTTTTGGAGAACGATTTTAAATCAGCCGAAATGCTCTGTAATGTTACTAACCTTCTTTGAACTGAGTCCTCTAAATTTCAGGTGCATTTTGTTCAAAATCAGTTAGAAATAGTCAAAATATTCAGAGTGAAGCACCCAAAAATGTAATTTTGGAGGCTTTTAGCTACTTGAAATCATAGAAAACAAAGTTTGCAAACAGGAAGATATTCAAAGTTCTACAAAACCAAAGGAGAAACTAATTAAACAGCATCAGCTTAATAGTGAATAGGACTTAACTTTCTCAAATTCTGTAATTGAATTTTGGCGTATCTTGACTTGGAGGAAGAAACTTTAGATGGACTTCCTATTTTTAATTGGATAAATTTACAGGCTATATTAGAATGCAGTGAAACTGGGATGTCCAAAAAGTTTGCTGCACAAAAATTTGGTGAAAACTTCAAAAGGATTATTTAAGTCAGTCATTTGATAAGCTTTGTCTGATAAAAGTATTTGGAAAAGAAACACATTGTATGCAGGCAAAAAGATTGTAACTGTGGAAATATTCAGACTGAAATACTTGTGCATTTTAATATGAGAAAAATTAGAATTGAGACAGTTCTTCATTTGTTAGAATTTGCTCTGAGCTTACCACGTCTCTCAGCTCCTGAAGAGTGTTTTCTCCATAAAAATTCCTTAGTCTAACAGCAGGAACAGCTACATAATTTGCAGGGCCCATTGCAAAATGAAAATGCAGGATCCTCTGTTCGAAAACTACAAATAATTTCAAACTGATGACAGTAAAACATCCATCCAAGTGTGTATCCCTGTGAATGTGGAGCCCTGCATGCTGCATAGGTCACACAGGACCTATGGTCAACAGACAAGAGTCAATTGACCATGATAGTAATTTTACATTTATTGACAATAAAGTGCAATTTATAAAAATTTTCTTAATAAGATCCTATTGAAAAATACCTTATTGAGGAAAAATACCAGTGATGTTTGATAAGAGGTAGATTCAGTTAAGAAATGAATTACAGTGTATGAATGTGCACCAAGAATAATGTCTTAGTGAGCTTAGGCTCCCATACAAAATACCATAGACCAGGCAGCTCAAACAACAGAAATGTATTTGCTCACAGTTCTGGAGGCCCCAAAGTCGAAGATCAGGATGCCAGTGAGAGGTGACAGCATGCTGGCAGCCCTCGCTTGCTCTCCCTGCCTCCTTGGCCTCGGCGCCCATTCTGGCTACGCTTGAGGAGCCCTTCTCTGGGCTGGCTGAGGCCGGAGCCAGCTCCCTCGGCTTGCGGGGAGGTGTGGAGGGAGAGGCACGGGTGGGAACCGGGGCTGCGCACAGCGCTTGCGGGCCAGCTAGAGTTCCGGGTGGGCGTGGGGTTGGCGGGCCCGCACTCGGAGCCGCCGGCCGGCCCTACCTGCCCCAGGTAGTGAGGGGCTTAGCACCCAGGCCAACAGCTGCGGAGGGTGTGCTGGGTTCCCCAGCACTGCTGGCCCACCGGCGCTGTGCTCGATTTCTCACCGGGCCTTAGCTACCTTCTTGCGGGGTAGGGCTTGGGACCTGCAGCCCACCATGCCTAAGTCTCCCCCGCGTTACCGCCGCCGCCGTGGGCTCCCGCGCAGCCTGAGCCTCCCCAACGAGCACCGCCCCCTGCTCCAGGGCACCCGGTCCCATCAACCGCCCAAGGACTGAGAAGTGCGGGCGCACGGCATGGGATGGGCAGGTAGCTCCACCCACGGCCCCAGTGCGAGATCCACTAGGTGAAGCCAGCTGGGCTGCTGAGTCTATTAGGGACTTGGAAAATCTTTATGTCTAGCTAAGGGATTGTGAATACACCAATCGGCACTCTGTATCTAGCTCAAGTTTTGTAAATGCACCAATCAGCACTCTGTGTCTAGCTGATCTGGTGGAGACTTGGAGAATCTTTCTGTCTAGCTAAGGGATTGTAAATACACCAATCGGCACTCTGTATTCTAGTTAATCTGGGGGGACTTGGAGAATCTTTATGTCTAGCTAAGGGATTGTGAATACACCAATCAGCACTCTTAATCTAACTCGAGGTTTGTAAATGCACCAATCAGCACTCTGTGTCTAGCTGATCTGGTGGGGACTTGGAGAACCTTCATGTCTAGCTAAGGGATTGTGAATACACCAATCGGCACTCTGTATCTAGCTCAAGGTTTGGAAATGCACCGATCAGTACCCTGTGTCTAGCTCAAGATTTGTAAATGCACCAATCAGTGCTCTGTGTCTAGCTAATCTAGTGGGTACTTGGAAAACTTTTGTGTCTAGCTCAGGGATTGTAAACGCACCAATCAGCACCCTGGCAAAACGGACCAATCAGCTCTCTGTAAAACAGACCAGTCAGCTTTCTGTAAAATGGACCAATCAGCAAGATGTGGGTGGGGCCAGATAAGGGAATAAAAGCA
Organism: Homo sapiens; assembly: GCF_000001405.40. Taxonomy (NCBI): domain Eukaryota; kingdom Metazoa; phylum Chordata; class Mammalia; order Primates; family Hominidae; genus Homo; species Homo sapiens. The sequence continues at coordinate 2,936,933 of NC_000006.12, forward strand.
GGCTGTCGGAGTTAGCCGTGGTATGTTTGCTGAGATCTGCTTCAATGTAGTGAAAATGGTTATTCTTCTTGCTTTTTTTTTTTTTTTTCTCTTTTTTTCAGTAAATGTGCTGTTTTTCGGTTTTGTTTCCTGTATGAGCTGTAACATTCTTTGTAAAGCTCTGTGGTTTTGTTTTTGAAGGTATGAAAATAGAACCAACCCATTTGTAGAGTTAAACAACTATCAGGAGCGTATGGCGTTATGTAGTTTATGACACTCACTGAATGTTTTAGAGCTTTACTCTTGAGCCGATGAGATCGCTAAGCCCACCATGAAAGAAGTAAAGGGAGGACATACCGCTTTAAAGAACTTGTAACACCACACGGGTCTGTGGCTTCATTCCCGAAGTCAGTAAGACCAATGAACCCACCAGCACAGTGTTTTTGGTGATGGTTGTTTTTAGCAACCTTAACTGTAAAAATTTCTCGTTTAAAATCATGAATTACGTGTTAAGGTTTCAACGTATGAATTTGTGGAGGGGGCTGGGCACAATTCACTGCATAGCAAATAACTGTACTTTGAGAATAACGTATATTTAAAGTTTAAATTGTGAATTTTAAAAATTCAATTTGATCTTTTCCAAACATTTTTAAAGAACGATTTGACAGTCTTAGGTCCTCTAATAAAAATCACTTGCAGTGAATTTTTAAAAAATGGACAAGTAATAGTTGTGTAGACTTTTGCAATGTTATGTTTTGATACATGCTTACATGGTAGTGAAACTGGGCAAGTTCCCTTGTTCCTCTCGGGATGTGTGATGGGGCTGATGGCTCACTTTAGTGCCCTGCTGCTCCAACTTTTAGGAGAGAATACAGACAGGTAGGCTGTGGGGCTCCAACCCTTTTGCAGTGTCTAGGGCTGAATGTTTACAACTCCTGAAGCTCCACTGGGCATGTGTTAGAGTGCTTTTTTAGTTTAGCTATCCATAGGTGGCTTGTGTTAACCAGTTCAATCAGACCCCTACCTTATCGCAAGGACAGAGGGCTTTCTGTATCCTGGGGTTCCTGCCTTGGTGTACCAGAAGAATCGGATCACATGTGGGCTTGGAGAATGAGTGCAAGGTAAGTCTGGCAACCTGGGCTCTCCTTCAACTGCCCCCGTCAAACTGCGTTGTTCTGCCGGTGGATGGCCTGCCTGCATGCCGGTGCCTGCTGGTGCATCCCATTCCTCTCAACTTCCAGCCGCTCGTGTGTTCCTCCACTGATGTACTCCTCTCGATATGCAGCCACCTGTGTGTCTGCCTGCTAGCGTCTCAGGGTTTTACAGGCACAGGGTAGGGGCGTGGCAGGCCAGGGTGGTCTTGAGAAGTGCAACATTGGGGCAGGAAAACAAAAATGCCTGTCCTCAACTAGGTCCGTGGGCACAGGCCCAGGGTTGGAGCCCTAGCCAGGGACCACGCCCTTCCCCCCCCCGCCATGTTATTTAAAGAGAGCACACCCTTCCATATCAGTGGAATGGCTAAAACAAGCTAATTCCCATACGCATTACCTCATCTATTTTTTTTGTGATGAGAATGTCAGAGTAGGCGGTTAGACGTGAGCAGGGCATGCACGGGCCCCCAAGAATGTTGGACATTTGTCAAGCCACAGTCACAATTATAAATCTGTCCCTCTGAAATAATGAGCAAGACAAGGAAGGGACCCCAGAGCTGTCTGGTTCTCATTGGGACCGGGATTGAAGGGCATAAAACTATCCCTCTAGGGTAATAAGTGGCCATGGCTGGCGCTGGGAATAACAGGAGTCTTGCAACAGACAGAAGACACCTGGAGTTAGCAAGGCAGTCCCAGACAAGGTTTTGAGCATGTGCAGTAATAGA